>NC_000010.11:9858484-10010000 GCF_000001405.40 Homo sapiens
TATCTATCATATTGGTGCTATCATAATACTCAGACACAACTGGATTTTAAAATCCTATTACACCTGTTAAAAAGTTAATTATTGAATTCATTTGACACTTTATTCTAATGTTAATGTACAATATATAGAGTCATACAGTGATAATGCTAGAAAAGCCCTTTGAAAATAATTAGGTTTCTTAGCAAGCATTGCCTATCAGCAGAACCCAGGGAGCATTACAAAAATACTTATGAGCAGGCCCCAATCCTAGAGACTCTGACCCTAAAGCTCAGAGGGGGACCTACACATGCAGCCTTTTTCATGGTTTTTGCTTGTTTGATAGTGTAGTTATTTCTCATCTGGCAAAAGTCACACAAGTAGGAAAATATTCTGCCAAAAACAGTGTTAGAAGAAATCAGTAAATTAAAAGAGCAGGACAGAAATTCCCCATGTTGCTTTAAGATAGGAAAACAAGCATGTGCTGAAGAAATACAGTAATTCTTGAGTCTATAAAGAAGTCATTGAGTACTAAGGCTGTCAGCATTTGCAGTCTCACCAGATGAGTAATCCTCCTGGCTTGTGGCTCACAGGACAAATTAGCTGTTACAATCTACTAATAAAGTAATACCTGAATGCTAATTTAGAGAATTTGATTTGCAGTTAGGTGTCAGTCATTTTTCTTTTCTCATAATAGTAATATCATAGGTGAAGACAATGTACATACCTGCATTACTAGAGGGACATGAAAGGGACCCATAATGGAGCAAACACTGAAGTTCTTAAAATGAATACATTCTTACAGTAAAGCGTATGTGCTCTCTTCCCAACATTCTCAGTAAAACAGCAATTTTTCTCAGAGAATTAAAAGAACTATGCTCAATATCTTACAGAACAACCCACATTCTTGAGCTCATTTCCAGATATACCAATTGTCTGTCTGACAGCCCAAAATCCTAGAGATGTCCCTAGCCTGTTTGGCAAACTTTATTTTTAATGAAAGCTGACAGATTTCATTTATAAATGGTCTTAATGATAAAATGTAGCAAACTTCAAACTAGTTAATATTAATATTAACTTTCAGATATTTACAGATGAAAAATTAATATCAGTCAGCCCTGATTTCTATTGTTCACAAATTAATGATTGGTGTCCATTCAGTCTGCTTAGGCAGACACTTTTATAATCGTGGAAACTCCAAGTTGGAGATAACTTTAGAGTCCATCTCTCCAGCCTCCTACTCAATGCTGTAAATGTGACAGACACGTTCCCCAAAACCTTCTGTTCCGCAAAAGCACACATTAAAATAGTATTGGGGTACAAAGCGGCTAGAGAGACTGTTCAAACCCAAACAAGGCAGAGGCTGCTGAGTAATGGAAACAGGGAAAAATCTACAAAGATCAGGAAGACAAAGGCAGAAGAACACGAAGCCAATGGTATGAAGGGAAGGCCAGGGGGAAACAGTTGACCTGGACAGCGCTGCACTTCTCTGTGGCCTATAGGTTCACTGTCTCAGGTGTGCTTTGCACTGCTTGGAGGCAACACCAATTAACATCCTTGGAAAAATCACATGTGAGTCATTCAATTTTTATATGTAATGACACCTTCCCCCTGAAATTAAGGGGGAATTGAGCATGTACTGTCCTAACTTGTATTAAACATATTATAGGCAATGAGGTTACATAGAGAGCCCTATAGCATCCCTTACAAGTACTCTTCAGCCTCTGCTTAAACATTTCACAACTGTTTTCATGAGCCCTTGCCAAAGATGAACAACTCTAGCTATCAGAGCTCTTTTGAGTCAAAATGTTTCCCTCATGACTGTTGGTTTCAAGTGCATCCTCTGCAGTAGCACAAAATACACCATCCTTTTCCCTTGAGAAAGGTTTGATTATTTGAGTAGAACTTCTTTCTCACATGTGTTAACTTCTGTGTGTGTGTGTGTATGTGTGTGTGTCTGTATCTTTTGAATGTGTTTCATAGCTTTAGGTTGGAGAGAAAGCAGTGTTGAATGAAATTACTACCTAGTCTGTTACAGTTTATCTAAAACTGTGATTAGGATAACTTCTTGCTTAAGTCTACACTAAAATTTGTCTCACAAATCTCTCAAACAATAAAAAAGGAAACTCCTTAAACTGTTGCTTAGTGATTCTTAAACTCAAAATGACTGAGGCGTGTGATATGCCACTCTCTTGAGGTAAGCACCTGACACTTCATCTACTTTCTGAGTCGGGGGGTGCTCCCCAACCCAGTCATCCTGTGCAGATCTTTGGCAAATTCCTGAATTTGCCAAAAGTTACTTCCATTTGGTTCTCTCCATTTTCCTACATATATTTAATCTCTCCCTTGATGAAATCACCCACTTTCAACTGAGGAAAATAGCCCAAGACATTCATTCACTCCACAGATATTTCTTGAACACCTACTATGTATCAGGACTGTTCTAGGCACTGGAGATAGAGAACAGAACAAAATGGAAGAAGAAAAGAAAAGAAAGCAAAACATAAATGCTGCCCTCATGGAGGTTACATTCTAGTGAAGGAAGTTAAAAATCAATAAATAAGGAAATGAAAGGATAGGGGCATTTCATCAAATGTAAAATCCTATTGGCTATTAGATGCATCACAGTTTTATGCATCTTATGAACAATTAAACTGCAATATTCTATAGACTGTAAGGCACATCTCAATTTCAGAGCTGTTCACATGTGAAAAAGTATAGCTTAAAATGAATGAAATACATTACAATGGATTAAAAATGCAGTCAAGGACTTTCATGAGTTTGCAATTTTAAATAAGATGATGAGTCCCAAAGCTCAGTTACCTTCTGCAACTTTCTCCTTCATACTGGACATTGCAGCCTAAAGATCACGAGGGCATCCAAATTCAACATATCCCAAACCTGCTGCCATTAAAGACCTGATGGCTTCACTGGGGATCATATAGCTTTTTCCTCCCTCTTCATTAATCAGAAAGTCCTGTCCATTTTAACCCTAAAATGTTTCCAATCTCCTCCATCTCTCCTAATCAGTGTCCCTGGTTTATGACTTCACTATCTCATATTGACTCTTATTACATTCTACTACCTGGACTCCTTGGTTGCATTATTTTCTCCCCTCTAGAATCTATATTCCATAATGCTATAATACGTATCTCTTTGTAATTCAGGTCTAATCAAGTCACACTTATTTTTTTAAAAAGAACGCTCATATGCTATTTCTTGTTTCAATAAGAAAGTTCCATTTCCTTAGCACAGCAAGTATGAATCCTCACGATAGAACTTCAACCTATGGCTTGAGCTCACCTCAGCAGCTTCTATTCCTCTTCCCTCTCAACAGGATGCCTCAGCTGGGCCAAATTATTGGCTTTTGTCCAAAATGACATTTACTTTCCTACCTTTAATCTGTTCATGCTGTTGTCCTTAACTCAAATCACTTCCCTGTCACCTCCCCCCACAACCTCATGAATGTTTTCCTCACAATTTCTTTCACCTACCAAATCACCTCAGATCATCTGCTCTCTGTCTACTCCTAGGACCTTTATCATACTGATGTTCACCACAATTGATTATACTTTCCTGTCTCCTTCATTAGATTGCACATTCTTTGAGGGTTTCTATTTTTTTGTGTGTTTTGGAATCAAAACCTCAGATTCTGAATCTTGATTCCAATTATCTGCAAATTATATGACCTAAAACTTCTTAATCTCTCTGAACCACAGTTTTCTTATCTGTAGAAATGGTAGAGAAATGAGGATAAAATTTGAAAACAAGGGGAAATTGGCCAATCACAGAGAGTATGAGGGTTCTTTATTTTAATAAAAGTAATTTCCAAATGGGCTTTTTAACCCACGGATGTTTGATGTGTAGAGGCAGAAGAGAGAGTGAAGGGAAAAGGTTAGGTGTACCCTGTGTAGTAACATTTCTATGTCTTTCATCAAAGACATGTTATCTAATCTAAGTACTTTTGTAGACTTTTAACTTTTTAACCTAGCAAAATAGAAGAAAAGTTTTTTAATAAAAAAAGAAAATATAAAAATAATATGAATGCATTCAATTTTTGACTCAAAGTAAAAAAGATATATCAAATTTAATCAAGGCAAAAATTAAAAACAAAGCTATAAATAACTTAATCACTAGATAATTCATAGATTGATCACATCAGTGGAAAAAATATACTATTTGCCAACATTTTTGTATATAATTATTAATAGTATATAATTAATTAATAGTATATAATTACCAATGGTATATTATATTAATTATACACTATTATATATTTATGTTTGCTTTTAGCATTACTACTGATAAATTATGATACTCGCACTTTTTTTACAGTTTGGTTTAATTGTATAATCTAGTCCTTCACAGGCTATTTACTCATCGGCACTATATTAAAATCAGATATAAGTGACATGGATTTGTTTTTTCTTCAGGATACTAAAATGGTGTGCTGGCCTTATCAGCAAGGACAACAGTATCATGACTGTCATGTCCCTTATCATGACATCATGCCTTCTCAACTGTGTTTCCTAAAAATAAGCTGTTGAAATAGAACATAACAGTTTCACCAATTTTATGGATAATTTTTAGTCATAGTTATTTTTAAATTTGCTTTAGATTTTAAATCAACGTAATATATACATCTGGTTTTAAACAAATAAAATATCAAGTTTTATACTGCAAGCAAATAGCTTAATCCCCCATAAGAAACCTCTGCTATATCTGTTTTAAGACTCTCTGAGATTGATTACCTTCCCATCTATAAATAAATGTCTATATGTACTATTTGTGTTCGTTAGTAATTACATGTGACTGCTAAGAACCAAACAGTAATTTAAACAACCTAGAAACATGGGCCGGACACAATGGCTTATTCCTGTAATCCCAGCACTTCAGGAGGCCAAGGCAGGCAGATCACTTGAGGCCAAGTGTTTGAGACTAGCCTTTCCAACATGGTGAAACCCCATGTTTACTAAAAATTCAAAAACCAGCCGGCGTGATAGCACATGCCTGTAATCCCAGCTTGTTGGGAGGCTGAGGCACAAGAATTGCTTGACCCAGGAAGCAGAGGTTGCATTGAGCTGAGATTGCACCACTGCACTCCAGCCTGGGCAACAGGACAAGAGTCTGTCTCAACAAAAGCTCCCAAAACCGAAAAAAACTAGTAGCATCTATACTCACTGTTAGGAGCTGACGTGTGTCTCCGCAAAATTTACATGCTGAAATCCTCATTCCCAGGACCTGAGAATGTGACTGTACTTGGAGATAAGGTGAGGTGACGAAGGTAAAGTGAGGTATGACTGGTGTCCTTTTGAGAAGAGATTAGGACATGGAGAGGGACACCAGAGCTGCGCACGCACAGAGGAAAGACCATGTGAAGCGGCAACAGGAGGGTGGCCACCTGCAAGCCAAGGAGAGAGGCTTCATACAAACCCAACCCTGCTGCCCCCTTGGTCTTAGACTCCCAGCCTCCAGAACTGTCAGTCAATAAATTTCTGTTGTTTAAGCCAACCAGTCTGTGGTACTTTGTTGGCCATCCTAGCAAAGGAACATACCACACACATTATTTCCCACTCACATAACTTGCATTCCGGAAGCTGGTATAGTAGTTTGGGGCTAGTCTCGTGGCTTGAGACAAAGCTCTTTCATCTTTCCTGCTTTCGCTGTCTCTACTAATTGATTTTCATGTTCAAGATGAACTTTTCATCTCAAGGTCTCAAGGTAGCTATTGAAGCTGTAGCCAGCAAAGCACATTCCAGGCAGGAAAAAAGCAGAAACTTGATAACTTGATAACTGTTATAAAGCCTTCCTATAGATCTTTTTCCAATTTGAAAGCTCATTCTTTCTCTCATGTATGTCCACTGTATTCAAGTTACAGTATGAGATTTGAAAAGGGGTGTAGTTTAGTATATTCTATCTAGACGTCTAATAAACATTAAATAATTATAACATTTATTCCCATAACCTTACAAATTATGAAATACAGCTATAAGATATGACAATAGGCCTAGAGACGGGTTTTTCAAGTGCAAAGGGAAAGCCCTCGTGGCATTCCCTTCAAAATTGACATTGCTAATGCTCAAGACCTTTTGGGAAACTCTTTAAAGAGAAGTCTCTTCCTTTTATAGATCCAACCAAAGGTCTTGCAGTGCCCCCAAGAGCTCAATTTTTCTCCTTTTCTGCTATGATATCTTTCAACAAGTCATTCTTCACAAAGATATTCAAAAGCTATTCTGGTACAGCAGCTCCAAAAGGGTGGATAATTTCTACCCTTTATTTCAGAATTACAAAAATCTGGTCTGTGTTAACTATGCCAGTGTCTCAGAGTGCAGTTGTCTCTCACCATAATATCTGAAATATTCCATAAGGATAATGGGTGTGAATAAATAAAGGGGGGAAAAAATCTAAGATTTCCTCCAAAAAAGAAAATATTGCAAAAAGAGCAAAAAAAAGTACAAAATCTGATTTACTACATATTACATGGGGGAAATCATTAAAATATACATTCTCTTAGTTTACCAAAATTGGTTTAATATTCCACATAACAATAGAATCATAAAATAACTTAAAAATATTTACTGAAAGTATTATATAATATATCCAAGATATGTTCCCTCGAAGGTATTACATATTATTGAAATTATTTAATTCTTATACATACTAATTCTATATTTTCAAGTAATTTTAAACCATATTTATAAAAGTTTCTGAGTTTTTTCCTATGTAAAGACATATTTGTCTCTTTCTCTTTCTCTCTCTCTCTCTTTCTCCTTCAGGATGGAAAACAGACCATATGAGAGACATATTTTGAATCTAATATAAAACTAATGATCTAATAACTTTTAAATTATTTGATGAATTTTTCATATATTTCTTTATGAAGAGTAATAAACATAATTAAGAATTTTGTTTACTGTCTGTTTTTATAAGTAAAATGTGTTTATTTTTTCTACCACAAAAGAACTGAATATTGCCAACATTTTAGATTACCACTAAAATATAAGAGAAATTAAATTATTCACTAAATTTGAACTCAAACTTCTGGCTAATAGGACGATGTGCATTACATATGTGTATGCCTGTCTATACAAATGGTGTGACCATTTATATAATGAAAATAAGAAAACTTGCAACAATAAAATATTATAATTTGTAGTCAAATGTTTGCAAGATGGTCAGCTATGGAGATAGGTATTTTAATATTTTTTTATTGACTAGAATCCTACTTAAAAGTATCAGATTTTTATGTCAATATATACCTGCATAGCATTTGCAAGGAACTGGTCATCTAATAAAACTTCACCACCAACAATACAGTCAGCCTCCATATTCATGGGTTCTACATCCATCAACTCCACCAACTGAGCATCAAAAATATTTGGAAAAAATAGGTAACTGTGTCTGCACATAAACATGTACAAACTTTTTCTTGTCATTACTGCTTAAACAATACAGTATAACAACTATTGACATAGCATTTACATTGTATTGAGTACTATTAGTAATCTAGAGATGATTTAACATATACAAGATGATAAGCACAGACTACACATAAATACTATGCCATTTAAAATAAGAGATTTAAGCACGTGTGGATTTTTATATCCAAGAGGTCAATGTAAAAGTGGACCCCCACAGCTCAAACCTGTGTTGCTCAAATGTCAACTGTATAAAGATTTCAGTCTATCAGGTATCTCTGCTTTCACATTAAAGCTATCCATATATTCATATATTGTTTTATTTTAAAATATCTGTTGTAAACCCATCATTTTTCAGCCCTAGGGCTAGGTTCCTAGAATGCAATGACCAATAAGACTCTTCTCATAGAGGTTGGAATTTATTGCATGAGATGACTATAAAAAAAAAAACAGATTTTTTTGTAATATGTGAGCTTTGTATCATAATAGAAAGGAATCTGGTTCTTTGAGATTACAGAAGACACTAACCTAGTCTAGGGATCAAGCAAGGCTTCTCCAA
Source organism: Homo sapiens (assembly GCF_000001405.40). NCBI lineage: Eukaryota > Metazoa > Chordata > Mammalia > Primates > Hominidae > Homo > Homo sapiens. Next base: position 9,866,438 of record NC_000010.11, read on the forward strand.
TAAAATACCACCACCTGAGTTCTGAGGTATGAGCAACTGTTAAATAGGAAAAGAGAACTAACAGGGAGAACATTCTAGATAGAGGTAATGACAAGTATAAAGAGCCCAGGGAAGGAGGGAGCATAGTGAATTTGAGAAAGTTCTGAAAGGGTGCCATCATAGCTGGATGCAAGGAAGCACGGGAGGAAAGAGACAGATTAAGAAGACAAGGAGGAGCAAAGCCACACAGGACCTTGTAACTGAGATGAGAATTTTGTTCTATCCTCAGAGCAAAGAGAAGCCATTGCACAACATGAGTCACATTTGTGTTTCAAAAGGAACAGAAAACAGTAAGGAAACTTTTGTTGTAGTCTAGTGACAGCTGATTATAGCTTTGGATATAGTGGTGGCTGTGAAGACGGAAAAAAATTGAAGAGACGGTCCACCTATTCTATGTGCTTGGACATTTTTCTAAAAAAGTCAATTGACTGTCATGTGTGGCTCACTTCTGGGCTCTGTTTTCTATTCCACTGGTCAATTTTTATGCCACTGCTGCCATATTTAGTTGCTACAGCTTTGTAGTATATTTTGAAATCAGGGAATATGATGCCTCCAGCTTTGTTTTTTTTTTGCTCATGACTTCATTAGCTATTTGGGGTCTTTTGTAGTTCTATATAAATTTTAGGATTTTCTTTCTAGTTCTATTATATGACATTGGAATTTTGATAAGGATGCACTGAATCTGTAGGTCTCTTTGGGTACAATGGAATTTTTAACAATCTTAATTCTTTCAATCCATGAACATGAATTATCTTTCTACTTAGCTGTGTTTTTCAATTTCGGTGTCCAGGTATTTCACCTCCTTGGGTAAATTTATTCCTAAGTTGTATTTGTAGCTGTTGTAAATGGGATTAATATCTTTACTTCTTTTGTATAGTTTGATACTGTACAAAAACTACAAATGTGTGTGTTGATTCTGTAGCCTGCAACTTTACTGTATTTAATTATTAGTTCTAATAGTTTTTTGTGATCTCTTAGGGTTTTCTATAAATAAGAACATGCCATTAGCAAACTGACAGTTGCACTTCCTCCTCTCTTACATAAATGCCTTTTATTTATTTCTCTTGCCTAATTACTCTGGCAAGGACTTCTAATACTATATTGGATAAAAGTGGCAGGACTGGGCATCCTTGTCTTGTTTTAGATCTCAGAGGGAAGGCTTTCAATTTTTTGCCATTGAGCATAATGTTAGCTGTATTACACTAATAACTTTATCTACCTTCATCCATCTTGAAATGTAAAAAATCTATTTGTGCAAAGAACCATTTACGCCTGGGGTATATTAACATCCTGTAAATTAGTGTTCTGAAGGCTACACTTAAGAAACGATGGCCTAAGGGAATAAAGGGCTATAAATCAGATATGCCACCATGCAGATCATCTGAAAAATAACGTAAGATTTTTTAACGTGTCTAGCGTCACAAATTTTCTCACTAGATGATATGCAAATATTTCTCTAAATTACTCTTCAATTTTATTTCTGGCCTAATACTTCAGTTACAATTACAGAGACAATGCAAAACCACTCAAAATTTAGGGATATTGCTCGTCTGGTATAAGTCTCCACATGTTACACTTCTTGTCACCTTTCTTCCTTTTTTCCACATTCTGCTTTGGCCTTAATGATTCCTGCGTGAAACGAGAGAAGTGGAGGTAATTCCACTTGAAAATAAATATGCTGCCTTATCTTATCCTGGATACTTATGTAGTTTACAGGTATAATTATTCTTCTACACAAAAAGATCACTCCTCTCCTCCTCATAAATGAAGGCAATAGATTTTACTTGCAAGAGTCACAAGATCACCCTTCTCCTAACTTCCTAACATCCTGTCGACCAGCAAAAATTTTTTTGCCATTTCATTTCCTTGTACTAAAGCTAATCATAGTGGTTTGTCCTGTTTCATGTTTAAATTGTTATCTTCTAAAGTCATCAATTATTTTTTAACAAAACAACAAAAAGTCGGTATTCTCACCTTTTTATACACTGTAATCAATGCTGTTAGAGACACATGAAATTTGCAGAATTCCAAACACAATGTTGCCTTTTTATTGGCAAAATGCAATTACACAACTAATTGGCTGTTATATTGCAGTGTGATACATGCTTGGCCCACACATCTCCTCCTGCTGGCAATGCAGGAGTTGGTCTACTTCTGCACCCCCTTTCAATATGTTTAATTATTTAAGCCAAGAGAATGGTCACTCAGTGGATGTGCTTGGCAACTCTGAACCACAGATGCTGGGCTCTCACGTTTATCTTTTTTCCAACAAGAGCAATATGGAAACAAGTGCCTAATTTCTTGGCTACAAACACATCAAGCTTCTCACTAGGCCCAGTTGCTGTATTTTGTGGCAGCCACAAATTTACGTTTGTGCTAAATGGCTGATTATCACTTCTGATTATTTTTGATGATGGGCTTCTTGTGGATTGATTTTAATTGGAAAGATTTATTTTGTTGACTAATCCTAGTGCTTTATCCATTTTATACTCTAGTTTATTATTTATTGTATATGTGCCGCTTAATTTTTGCCATGCTTCAGAAGTAATGAATTAAATACAAAGTAGAGAAAATGTGTAACATAACAAAATGGGCATCTGTTATTAATTTACTTCAAAATTAATGTACTCCTCTAAACTTCCATACTTTTTGGTGTGAAGGGCAGACACTGTCTTTTACATGAGAGATCATCTAGGCTAGTTTTAAAAAGAAAGGATGCAGAAACACATTATTACCAAAAATACCTGATGGCCATAGCTGAACCTCATGTTAGAATAAACCAATTATAAAAATCCGAAATGTTAACCCAAGAAAAGAGTAACTAATCTGGAGCTTTTCACATGTGGGCTGTGATGGAGTCAGTGCACCAGCTACAGAAAGTGGTGCAGACACACGCACTAGAGGAGGAAGTGACATGGGGGAGTATCAGATCATATTTTTATGAGAGGCCACCCAAGCTTGAAGGGGCTTGCATACCATCCTGAGGAATTTGGACTTTATTCTGATTGCATAAGCAGTAAAAACCCCTGAAAGTTGTGGTAAAAAAAAGTTTTTAAGATAACTTTTTTGTTTTAAAAAATAACATTGACAGTATGGGGGACAGATGGGTTTTAAGGTGACATAAGCAGGAGACACTCCAGTGGTGAAATAATTTCAGTAGGACAAGATAGAGCTAATAAGGGCTTCAGTTAAGACAACGGTAGTGAAAGAGATGATAATTAGCTGCGTTTCCAAAAATATTTCAAGAGAAAAATATGGATTACTGAGGACAGCTCGCTGAATGCTTTTCATGACAGTCTTTTCCTCCCAACTCCATGCTAGAACAGCTTGAAGAACAGAAACTTAATGTTAGACCAAGAAATAAGTGAGAGCATTTCTAAGGCCTTAAATTCCTGAAAGGAGAGAACAGGAAAAACCTTCCAATTCTGGAAGCCTGTTAGAGAACAAGGGAGGCAGCTTGAGCTTGCTGGCACCCGTGGTCTCAGAGGAAGAGTGCCCTGCCAGTCTCCACAAGATAAGTCTGCCCTCCCCACCACGGCCCACCCCACACCCCCACTCCTTTAACCAGAGAGGCTTGGGACCTGGGAACCAAAACTGGAAGGGAGAGTTCAATTCTCACAACCTTTTTTCAGTTGAGTTACTAGAAAAAGATGGAAATAATATTAATTTTGGTGGCTTTGGCTTGATCCCAAAAGCCAACATTAGCTTTGCTCCGTAAATAATTCTTGAAGCACATGGAAAATAAAAACACAACTATAAATCATTCAACAATTAATGAAAAACCTAAACCACATCAAATTATATGCTATAGAAAGAAAGATGTATAAAAAAGAACTTTAAAGCCAGACATTATTTTATTTAAAAAGAAAGACTGATAAGGAATTATGTATGTAACATGAGAACAAAATTATTATGTAAAGATAAACAAAAGAAGAAACAGAAAATTAGGAAAGTGTTTTCAGATGAAATAGAAAAGAATAAAGATGTAGTCCAAAATAAGTAAAACAAATCCTAGCTTTTTAGCAAAAAAAAAAAAAAAAAAATCTCTTCACAAGCCTGATAGAGCAAAAAGAAAAATCCAAATAAACAGCTTTAGGAATATAGATATGTAAATCCAGAAAGTGTTCCAAGTATCAGAAAAGAATATTCCATGCAATTTGATGGCATTAAGTTTGAAAATCCAGAAGAAATGCTAAATTTTATTGAAAAATGTTATTTGCAAATTTGACCCAAAAATGTCAGAAAATCTAATAAGGCAGTGATGGTGGAAATTGGAAAATTTTCTTTAAATATCTAACAAAAATAGAGAGGTCCAGCATTAAGTTTTGCAGGTTATTTCTATTACAAGTTAAATAACATTAATCTATCTATGTCTTTTCAACTACTGGAAGATATCAAAATATAGTAGGTTCCAAACTCATTTTTAAAAATTTTCACGTCTCAATTCCAGCTATTTTAAATATATATATTTATAAGTGAAATTATAAATAAAATATTTCTCATAAGATTTTAACAAATCAAGTTTAATACGATATATCAATATACCATGACCGAGTAGAGTTTTCTAGAAATGAAAGATGTTTCTAAGTTATGATTTTAGTTGTAGTTTATTAAATTATTATATCAAAATATAAAGAATATGTTACACAAAATATAAAACTTAGCTACCATTCTCTTATGTTTTCCAAGTAAAATAAGAAGAGAATGGCTATTTCTCTATATGACAATGGCTTTTTTAAAATGTGTAAATCACCATATAAAATAGCACATACTTGACTATTTCTGTTCAAATTAGTAATGAGAAAGAGAAGACCTAGAAATCACAAGATATATAATTAAAAACTAACAAGCTTTCACCTTTTAGAATTCTAAGACATTTTGAAAAAGTATCTACATACATAATAAATATGTAAAAGTCTATACACTTTCTGTAGCAGCAAGAAGCACTTTGAAATGTAAATGGAAAAAAAGAACTTAGCTCCATAAGATCAAAACCAAAAATAAAAAAGAAATAAAAGAAAAGAAAGGTATAAGGTCTGATATGAAGATAATCACCACACTTTAATAAAGAATGAAAAAAGGCTGAGTAATTACAGAGGAACATCATCTTTCCGAAAAGAACAGATTTCATTAAAAATGCCAATCCTAAACAAATTAACAATTTCAGTCAGAAACTCAAATTGTGATTTAACTGAACAGAATGATTTTAAAGTTTACATGTTAGACTATAAGTGAGAATTTTACAGAATAATTTGAAAAAAATGAATGACGGTGTCAGATAATTCTATTTATTTTACAATACATTTTTGGTTTTGTGGCTAAACAAATATGACAGCATTCCAACTCATTTTTCAAAACTTTCATGTTCCTAAATTCTAGCCATATCAAATATATACAAAAAGTAATTTCATTAATATAAATATGAAACTTCTAAATAAAATTTGAACAAATCAAGTTTACTAAATACAACAACATATCATGACCAAATGGAGTTTTCTAGAAGTGGAGGATGTTTTGACATTAAGAAACAGGTAGTTACAAGCCATGAAACACAACTCTGGCAAACAGAAATGGAAAAATAATTCATTAATGATATCAGGTGGTACCTATCTCGGGGAAGGCAATAGAATGGGTTTGGAGGTATATATGCAAACAGGATCAGCTTCCAAACCATATGAACATGGGTTCTAAGAAGAAGCCACGGCTACAGTAACTGCAACAGACACACCACAGGCAAAACTGAAAGAGGAGGACAGGAATTTGTGAGTAGGCCTGCAGTGACCTGGACTGGCATAGCAAAAGGCTATATAATAGAAATAAAAATAATCCAGAAATATATAAACCCTGGAGAGGCACTGAAACCTTTGAATAATTTTAGTCCCAAAAATAGAATTAAGTTGATACAGGATAACCAACATCCCCCAATGCCTGCCAGAAGCATAAATATGCGTCTATATCTCCAGAGAAATACATCATTCTAGGACCAAAAATCTTTCTTCAGTTACACGCTCTATCTAGCACCCAATCAAAACTAAGAATGCATGTGAAAAAAAGACATTGTGACAGAAAGCAAGAAAAAACTCATGGGCACTAAAAACAGTTACCCGAAAAGATTATACTTTGAAAGAACTATATATAACATATATTCAAGAAAATAAGGCATAGGATTAACACTTCTAGCAGAGACCTAGAAAAGAAAAAAAATAACTGAAAGGGAATTTAAAGAACAAAATTACCAATATCAAGAGTTGAAGCGTAGATTTAGTAACACTTAGAAATAACTAAATTAGTTAATAAAAGATAAGTTAAAATATCTAAAAATAAAGCACAGAGAAACTTATGGAGGGAAAACAAAGAAGTATCAGAGATACAGCAACAGAGAATATCTAACGACTGATAATTTGAATTCCCAAAGAAAGAGGGAGAATGAGGAGAAACAATGTATTAAGAAATTATGTTGTTAACTTCTCCAAAACTGAAAAAAGGTATCAAGCCACAGATTCAGGAAGTGTATATATATAGCAAACAAAATTTTAAAAATTCTATATATGCATATTTAAATTTCTGAGAACTAGACAGAGTGACCATCTCAGAGCAGCCAGGAATATGAAGACACATCACCTTCAAAGAGTGACACAAACACTGATAACTAATCTCTCAAATGAAAAGATGGGAGTCAAAAGACAACAGAACAATAACCCTGAAATAAAATTACTGTCAAATAAGGAGTCCATACCATGAAAAAGATATCCAAAAGTAAATTAGGGTAAAATAAAGAAATATTTAGACAAACCAAAACTGTGAGAATTTTCCGCCAGTAAACCTTTACTGAAGAGGATTCTACAGAGAGAAAGAAATGATCCCAGATGGATGTTCACAGATATGAGAAAAAAATAAAGAGCAACAACAAAATGCATAGGTAGGTGAACTGAAATGAATATTGAGCATAGCAAGCAATAATAGTAATGAGGTTTTCAAATGTTAAATATACAAATTGAAATGTGAAATAAAAATAGTAATTTCTAAGAGTATGAAAGGTAGAGTTAAAGTGTTCTAATATTCTTGCATTACCTGGCAAAAGGTGAAAGAATGTTTATATTAAACTTTGACAAGTCAAAGATGAATAGTTGTTATTTTAGGGTAATCACTAAACAAATACTAAAATATGCGTACCAACCAAACATGAGGGAAAAATGAATATTAAAAGAAATACACAGTTGATTAACAGGGAGAAAAGAGAAGAGAAAACAGGTAGGACAAATACAAATAAAACAGTGCTATTGGAGATTCAAACCCAAATATATCAGGACTTACATAGCTCTCAATGAAGGACTGCAATAATGAAAAGGTAAAGATTCTTAGGCTGGATAAAAAAAAAAAATCAAAACCCATCATACATGTTTTAGAAGTAAAACAGCTATAATTAACAGCAGAGACCAAGTAAATCATGAAAAAAATGATAGATATTGGTATAAGTATATTAATACCAGACAAACTAGATTCAAGGTAGAAATCATTACTCCAGAGAAAGAGATATTTCATAAACATTAATGTTTTGTCAACAAGTTGTAAGTCTAGATATTCATATACCTAGCAATATGGCATAAAATATAAAGCAAAGATTAATACCTAGGAGACTCGGACTAATTCAATATGATAATGAGGGGTTTTAATACACTCCTCTCTGTACAGACAGGACAGACAAAATAAATCAGACATGATATAGAATCCTTAAGCAACAGCGAACAAGTTTGACCCACTGGAAAATGTAGAGCACTACATCCATCTTCTATAGAATACAAGTTCTATTCCAGTGTACATAAAACATTTTTAAAGTAATTGACTATATAGTAGATCACAAAGCTAAGGGCAGCAAATTTCAAATGATTAAAAATATTTAGAGTACGTCTTCTAGGTATAGTACAATTAAGACAGAATTTAACCACAAAAAGATCCCTTTAAAATGCACCCCCATATTTGGAAACAGAAAAACAAATATCAAATTTCTGAATTACCCATGGTTCAGGAAGAAATAAAAATCAAAAAATGTTTTCAAATGAATATAATTGATGTTAATAAAAAGCTTTTGTGTGCAACTAAAGCTTTGCTGTGAGGGAAATATACAACCTTAAATGTCTGTATTAAGAAAGAAAGAATGCTGTTATTATCTATCCAACACTCTTAAATTAGGAAGGTACAGATGAATGACAAATTTAAAATTAAATTGTGGAGGAAATAAAATACAAAAATCGAAAATGAATAAAATATAAAGCACACACAATAAAGATGAGCAAAGTTTAAAATGGTTTACAGAAATGCCTGATAACATTTATAATTCTCTAAGAAGTTGATTAGATGGTGAGAAATTACCAAAAAAAGGAAATTTAAAAAGGCGTCACTAGGATGAGACAGAAATTTAAACAATTATAAATGGATATGAAGAACACACGATACCAATAAACTTGAAAATTATTTCAAATCATAAAACTTCTAGAAAACACGACTTACTAAAACTGGCAAAAGTAATTAGGAAACCTAAACACTGTTGTATTAATATTAAATACATTAGCCCTCTAACTACAACATTTCATAAAAGAAAACTTCAGCGTTTTAGTGATGGTTCTCGAGAGACAGGACCACTAGGATAGACAGAAGGATGAGACAGGATTGTTAAGAAGTGGCTCACTGGCTTCTGTATGCCGAGAAATATCAGCATAAGCAGAGAAAACTCAGCATTGCCACTCTGCTAACTGGATATTCAAGGGAGCGGGTTCAGGCCAGGTCCAAGGCCTCAGGCAACCTCTAAGCCAACAGTATGGCTCTCATCTCCAGGCCTCAGGCCCTAGGGCCCAGGGCCGCGGTGCCCAGTCCCTAAGATCAAAGGCAGAAGGAACTGGAACTCTGGGGTTCAAGAGCTGGAGAAGTATAACCTGGCACCAGGAGAGTGGGAATTCACCCTCTTCTGCCTTGTCCTTCCATCTAGGCCACAGCTGATTGGATGGCACCTGCCCACATGGAAGGTGGATGTTCCCTAACTCTGTCAGCCAATTGGAAGGTGCCCGCCCATATTGAGGGCAGATTTTCCACTCACTCTGTGCACAGATTGGTTGGGGCTTGCCCACACTGACAGCAGATCTTCCCTAATTAAGTCCCGGGACTTAATGCCAATCTACTCTGGAAACAGGCTCTCAGACACACCTGGGGCAGCCCACGCATTCTAATCAAATATCAAACGACCTGGGTTTCTTTTTCGGTAAAAGAGAAACCCACCAATAATAGTACTTTACTAGCTATCTGAGTGTCTCCTAATTCACTCGAGTTTACACTCCAAGTCAACCATCACTATCAGTCTGTGGTATAAAAATATAAAGACAGATGAGAAAAGGAAGGTAAAATTTAATCCTAATATTGAATATGGATTTAAATATCCTTTAAAAATTACCAAATTAAAGCAGTAAGTATAACAACACATATAATCAACAGATTTATCAAAGAATGGGAAGTTTCATGTTCATTGTAATTGCAACATAATTCACCACATTTACAGGTTAAGGAGGAATCATAATTTTATTATCTCAACTGCTGAAAAGGCCTTTGATAACATTCAATATCAGTTATTGATTTAAAAAAACAACTAAAATTAAGACTAAATTTCTTCACTTGGATCTAGAAAAAAACCTAGAGGGGTTGTATAAGCAACCATTCTTTCCAACATTTAGTGATCACTGTAGCCACTGCAGTAAGTCAAGAAAGAGAAACCAAAGTTATGGAGGTTTGAAAGTATATTAAAATACTCATATCTGCAGATTGATATATTGTATCAAAAATAATCAGTAGGCCACTTATTAAAAATAATGCTAGTTTAGCAGTTTTGCTAAATACCAAGGTAGTACAAAAATCACTTGTATTTCATATTTCAGAAATATATAGGCTATGAAAAATTTTAAAGATATTTATCATTGCATCCAAAAAATCAAATATGTAAGATAAAATACAATGAAATATATAGAAGACTTAGACAACAATTTATATTACAATTTACACAACATTATTGAGGGTAATCAAAGAAGACCTAAATCAATAATAGTACATATCATATTTAAATATTGGAGAACTCAATAATGCAAGACATGCCCATTTTTCCCAAATCAATATACATTTTGAACGTGATTTCAATCAAAATCCAAGTGTGTATGTTGACATACGTGTGTAAATCTATGAAATAATCCTAAAAAAGATGGAAAAGCCAAAAATGTAGGGGGAAAGGCGTAAATATCAAAATTTGTTTTAAAGTTAAACTTATTAAAATCGTATATTTTAAAAAATATACAAATACACCTATAAAATAAAAGACCAGATCCAAGCATACATAAACCATTTAATTTTTGATCAAGAAGGTGCCACTGAACAAGTCTTTTAATAAATGAGGTTGGTCCGTTGAGGGGGAAAAATGGACCTTAATTCTTACATCACACCATATACAGAAATTAATTACAAGTGATTTCTAGATCTAAATCTGAGGCAAAATAACAAAACTTCTAGAATTAGAATACAGAAAATATCCAGTAGGAAAATAATTGCTAAATAAGGTACAAAATGCAATAGTCATAAAAATATTTAGAAATTGAACAACAAAAAGCCAGAATGTCCGTTTATCAAATGGTACCACTAAAAAAGTAAACAAAGGCCGGGCGCGGTGGCTCACGCCTGTTATCCCAGCATTATGGGAGGCCGAGGCGGGTGGATCACCTGAGGTCAGGAGTTCTAGACCAGCCTGGCCAATATGGCGAAACACCGTCTCTACTAAAAATACAAAAATTAGCCAGGCGTGGTGGCGGGTGCCTGTAGTTCCAGCTACTCGGGAGGCTGAGGTAGGAGAATGGCTTGAACCCGGGAGGTGGAAGTTGCAGTGAGCTGAAATCGCGCCACTGCTCTCCAGCCTGGGCGACAGAGTGAGACTTCGTCTCAATAATAATAATAATAATAATAATAATAATAAGCTGCAGAATGGAAGACGATAGAGTAAGTCCTCACTTATGTACTAGGTTCTTGGCAACTGCAACTTTAAGTGAAACTAGGTATAAAGAAACTATTTGCCCATAGGCTAGTTGATATCAACAAGAGTTAAGTTCCTACAGCATATTTCTGGTTGCAAAAACATCACCAAACTTCTAAATAAAGACCCGAAACACTTCTGGTATTAAACACTGGAACAAATATGAGCTATTCGTATATTAAAGAAAGATTTTAAAAATCAAGCAAGATATTTACCCATTTGTTCTAGTTTGGGATCGCGAGCAGCCCGAGCCGGTCCTGGCAGCTCAAGGTGCCAGGTGGCACCCAGTCCTGAACAGGACACCGTTCCATCACAGGGAGCACTCACCCACACACCTGTTACAGGTAGTTAGGCAATGAGCGGGGCAGGAGAGGGCTCTCTCCCACCCGCTAGGAATGTCAGGTGACATCGTTCAGCAATTATCGCATTGCCTCTCTAAAAATGATAATTGGGCAGCCAGGGAGAGAAAATCTCCTCAAGGTCCACACCTGCTAACATTACAAACGTTCATTGAATGCAGGCGCCAGAGAGAGGCAACTTCCTCAGCCCGCCTGTTAAGAGACAAAAAAAAAAAAAAAAAAAAAAAAAAAATGGCGAAGTATCAGCTTCCGGGGACACATTCCATCGGAATAGGGGAGAAAAGCCTCAGATGGGCGTCTGGGTAAGTGCCCTAAAAACAATGCGCATGCTCAGTTCCCAAGGGTGAGGTGGGCACAGCGCATGCGGAAAGCCCATCTTAAAGGGAGAGTCTTGGGAAAGAGGCGAGCCTATAAAGTCTCAGGAGCAAGGTTGAAGGCCCCATCTTTCTCTCTTTTCTCTCCACCTTCAAGCGCCCACTTGGATCCCTTCCAAGCGGTCTTTCCTTTCCTTCCTGTTCTAAAGGCTTTTTAGTAAACTTCCACTCTTACTCTGAAACTTGCCTCATTCACTCTGATTTATGCCCCTCATTCCAATTCTTTCTTCTGAGGAGGCAAGGACTGAAGTTGCTATGGACGCATATCAGTAATGGGGTAACTCGGATCTCTGTCACCACTGACACACCCACACTCACTCAGACTGGGACTGTTCAGTCTCGCCAGTTCACTTAATGTGCACATCTCTGGGAGGTGGGGGATACCAGAGTGCCTGGAGAAAACCCGTGGCGGCGTGGGAGAGCGTTCTAACTCCACATTGTGGCCCCAGCCGCATCAACATTGTAACAAAACGACATGGAATGAAACAACATTAATTCAAGGACCTGCTGTATTTGCGACACATGTAATTGACAGTGTTCTTATCCAGAATAATCCTAGTATTTTTAAATCTTATCAATCTATAACAAATACCATTTAGTGCTTTTATTTCTTTCAAATTTTTATTTATGTATTTATGTATTTATGTATTTATTTATTTATTTATTTTTGCCTGCCATGGTATGAGTTAGTCCAAATTTCCTAATACTTCATTTTAAAAAACAGATATGTATTTAATATCTTTATAATCTCTGCTGTATCTGTCACATGACTGTACACAATGGCAAATCTAAACAAACTGAGTTTTATTGTATGTAATTCATTTCTCATTAAAACGGGAGGAAAACATCAATAGCTAAGTAGTAGGTCTGTATAATTAAACACAAATTTTAAGGAGAAAATAGGTTTTTTTGGCAATACAATTAACCAGTACGAATAAGCAAAACAATAAATGTGCAATATATAATTTCATCATTAAAATAAGACTAGTTTAAATAAAATAATGCATAATTTTTAACTAAAGAAGATGAAAATCATAATGTTGATTCTCAATCTACAGTACTGTGTAATTTCAGTGAAAGTCCAATAAATTTGCTACGGAATTTTTCAAGTGCATTGTAGATACACTGTATACATATACTTCTATTTTTTGTCTATATTGATGTTTTGACATCTTATAAGACCTTTCTGGCTGGGGAGACAATGTCCCTCCCAGGGCTATTCAATATTTCGAGATAGGAAGGGCTCAGGGAGGAATACACCTTTGGTCTACAAACTAACCAATCCAGAGCTATCTATACGTCCTCTATCTGGCCCCTACACCCCAGGAGGCAATGTTCCTCGCCTTAATCATCCCAGGGCCAGGGACCGGACAACTAGGGATCACCCCTATTGATTAGAGCGTGCTGAAATTGATCAAACTGGCCAATCCTAAATGGTTTACACTGCCCTGCCTTGCCTGTCCAGTGGAAACTCCAATAAAGATTTTGGCTTTAACCTTCCCTGGGCTCCTGTCTTCTGCCTCCTGACAATCCTGGAGTTTTTCCATGTGGCTGCAACATGCCTCCTGTCTCTAGGAACTGTGAGTATAATAAACTGTTTTCCTGAGCCTCTCATCTGTCTCTTCTTGTGGCCACACCTGATTGGCCATCTTATAAAAAAAATAGAAAATATCAAGAACTTTATATTTAAAAACTACATGGAAATATAAATAAGAATATCCAAAACAATTTTTTTTTTTGAGACAGTGTCTCGCTCTGTCGCCCAGGCTGGAGTGAAGTGGTGCGATCTCCGCTCACTGCAACCTCCGCCTCCGCCTCCCGGGTTCAAGCGATTCTCCTGCCTCAGCCCAAAACAATTTTTAAAAAGAATAACAAATGAGCAACTTTTCCTGCTACACTGTAACCATGAAGCCATTAAAATTGAGGAACATTCTATCTATCTATCTATCTATCTATCTATCTATCTATCTATCTATCTATCTATCTATCCCTCTATTTATCTGTCCATGTATCTACATAACTATTCATCTATCTGTATATCTGTCTATCCGTTCGTCCATCTATCTACCTATCTGCCCAGCTATCTACCTAATTCTACGTCTATCTATCTATCTGTATATCTGTCTTTCTGTTCGTCCATCTATCTACCTATCTGCCCATCTATCTACCTAATTCTACATTTATCTATCTGTCTATCTGTCTATCTATACATCTATCTTTCTGTTATCTATCTACCTATCTTTCTATTTATCTGTCTGTCTGTCTGCCTATCAGTCTGTCTGATTATCTATTTGTCTGTCTGTCCATCTATCTACCTATCTGCCCGTCTATCTAATTATACATCTTTCTGTCTGTCTGTCTATCTATATGTCTATCTGTCTGTTAGCTATCTACCTATCTTTCTATTTATCTATATGTCTGCCTGCCTATCAATCTGTCTTTCTACCTATCTTTCTGTTTATCTGTCTGTCTGCCTGTCAATCTGTCTATTTATCTGTCTCTGTGTGTGTGTGTCTGTCTGTGTCTGCCTATCTGTCTAACTGTCCATCTGTCTATGTATCTATGTATGTATGTATGTATCTATCTTTCTATCTCTATTTATCTATCTATGTATCTATGTATCTATCTTTTGGTCTGTCTGTCTATCTGCCTATCTGTGTGTCTGTCTATCTATCTATGTATCTATCTGTCTGTCTGTCTCTCTACCTATCTATCCGTCTGTCTGTCCATTTATTTATCTGCCTGTCCATGTCTGTCTGTCTGCATACCTATCTATCTGTCTATCTGGCTATCATCTATCTGATCTCCTTGATGATATTATGGATATTCACCAGATTTTATAAACATTCTGTGGGAAAAACATATTATAAAACAATTGTAACTAAAACAATTTGGTATTAGGACACAAATATAGTAATTGACCAATGGAACTGAGTAGAGTCTACAACATAGACCAACATGTTTTATGTGTGTTCAGTGTATGTGAGATAATTTAGTGTGTGATAGAAATAGCATTTTCAAGTCACTGGTGATAGGACAGATAACTGAATTAATGGCGTTAGCCTAAGTGGCTGTTCTTTTGGAAAAATAAAACAAAGTTAAATTATTATTTTAAAATACTCTAAAATATTCTATTAATATTTTAAAGCATATTTTTAAAAACATGCTTCAGAAAAATCTTTAAAACTATTAAAATTGTGTTAACAAAAGAATGTTTACAAACCTGGAAGGCAGCTATGCTCACCACCAATGTTTAAAAACTTGGGATAGGAAAAACCCATAAGAGATAATAAAAATGTAAAAATCATAACAAATATTTGACATGATCAGACAATTCAGAGAAAATAAAAGAAAAATAACCATAAATACCATATGGTCAACCTTTTAGTAATCAAGAAAGTACAAATCAAAACAATGAGATGAGAGTTATACCAAATTTTAAAAATCAAATAATATCAACTGTAAGTGAGAATGTACATAAGTGGATTATCTCATGTTACTGTGAATTTGGGATTATCTATTAAATGTTAAGTGTCATAATTCCATAGTCCAAGAAGTCTACTTTGAGGTATCTACCCTAGAAGAATTGTTCATGAATACAGAGATATGTCCAAGAAAATTCATTGACTGTTACAATAGTGGAAACATGAAAACAACTTCAATGAGACCATCACTGAAAGAACAATTTAATAAACTACAGAATACACATATTGTAGGTTACTATGCAGCTATAAAAATACCTGGAGGTCTCCAAACATATTCTTATGTTTAAAACATAAATCAAGTACAATATTATATCCATATTTTTGAAATCCACAAATATAATACCTTTTTACATTCATATATGTTTGTCATTATACGTACGATTTATCTAAGGACATATACAAAGCTAACATCATTGATAACCTCTGAGAGGAGACTAGAATGTATTACTGTTGTTACAAAAGGCTCTGCAAGGCAATAAATTCATATATTATTTTAATGAATAAAGAATTCCTAAAATGTAACACTACATCCTGCTTTATTTTATAGCTAGGGGAGGAGCTCTCTCCTCTCTCTCTCTCTCTCTCTCTCATTATGCCATGTCAATAGTTTTCCTCTAATTACTATTACACATAAATAGTTTCTCTGGATGTGTGAGTGGCACTGTAGATCCACTCTCTTTCTGTGCGCTTTATTCTGAATGATTTGTGTTCTGCCTTCTGTGGTCTGTAATATCTCCATGTAAAATCTGAGTATGTTGTGATTCTGCTGATACAACGGGAGGGGAGATTTTACATATCATGTATTTTGCTAGAAGAGTTAACTCCCTGATTGAAATCTAGTAAAAAATAGTTAGGCCAAAACCCCACCTTGTAAAAGTATTATACGTCCTTTTTAGGATGTATAAGCAGTGGGGCATGGTGGATAAGAACATGGCTTTGTAAAATAAGTCACTTCATTTTCAAAGTAAAGGAGTAAAGTACGTATGTTCATCTCAATAGATGCAACTAATAATAATACAAGTTGGGAGTTAAGGGACATTTCTTAATCTTGTAAAGCATATCCCTAAAAAAAACCCACAGCCTATGTACTTTAAATGGTACATGAAGGGTTTCATTTAATATAAAAAAGAGACTAGTACTTCTATTCAATCTTTTACTTGAAGCCTCAGCAAATGTAATAAGGCAAGAAAAATAAATACATGTGTAAGAATTTGAAAAGAAATAAAGCAACTATTATTTGAATATAATATTGTATATTTGAAAAACTCCAAATTATATACAGAAAATGTTAGAATTAATAGCAGTTCTTAGAAAATGGTTGGTGTAAGATTAATACACACACACACACATATACGCACACATATAAATAAGATATTTTCTGTAAAACAGCAGCTACAGAAAATACATCTTAAATTACTTTTATATATAATTTGAGATGTCAGATAATATTAGTCTCCTACAGGAAGAATTTTTGTTTCCTTCTGCCAGGACCAAGGCTGGATTTTTTTCTATGTTGGCAAAACAATGCTGAGTACAGCCTGGAGAGTCTTTTAAGTCCAGATATGGAGTGGGGATTGTATTCTAGGATTTGTGCATTGAGAGGGTGGAAAACTCTAACCAAGCTCTTTCAGCACATGTTATCCACCAAGTAGGTTAACCTTGTAGATATCTCCTGAGATAAACATATGTCCTGTTGTGAAAAACTGCAAATCTTGGTTGCATGTAAGGTGAATGAAGCATACTATTCAGAGAAGAGCCATATTCAGGTCATACAGGTTCCTATCTCCTAACAACTCTTGACTCTGACATCTGCCCCATTGCATCAAGTCATTAACAAGAAAGGGCTGAGACACTTAACTGCTTTTCCTGGACTACGTACTCCTAGGACTGAAACCTCTCAGTATCACCTGTTCAGGCTCTTTTATAAATTCCTGCCTAGGAATCTGTCACTATTTTGTTGGGCCATGAACACTATAGAGTGGTTTTTATTTTCTATTCCCTCCAGGTTTTTGTTGTTGTTTCTTATCGCAAGAGAGTTACTTGTACTACTACATAATAATCCTTTATCAAGAACCTGGAAATGCCTTGGATATCTTTCCAAATCCTGGTGTATAAGTAGTCATGGCCTCTCTTTCCATACCTAATACTATTTACTCATCCCTTTCTTCTTTTTCCTTATCAATCTCAACAGAGGCTTATCTATCATATTAGTCTTCATAAAATACCAACCGTTTACTCTGGTGATCAGTGCTAGTGTAGGTTTGTTTTCTATTCTTTAATTTCTGTTCTTATGTTTATTTTCTCCCCCTTTCCACTTCTTTGAATTTATTCTGTTGAAAATACTAATTTTGCAGCTAATTCATTTTGAGCTATCATTAACACTCACTATACATAGTGATAGGAATCCTTTTCTGTCTTTACTTCACAAATTTAATCTAAACTATTTTTATTATTAATAAAGATGAAAGTATTTTAAAATTCATATGATAATGTCTCCTACCACAAGTTGTTTATTTGTGTATTCCAAATTCTCAACTTATGATTTTTTTAAATGTTACATTTGGTACTAATTTTTACTTAATTGCAATATGGTCATTGCATACCCATTTTTAATAATTTATTGACTTGTTCTATGTAAACGGTCATTTGAAAAAATATCCATCTGTGCTTGAGAAGAACACAGGCACACATCAGAGATGTGGGTTCAGTTTCTGACTACCTCAATAAAGAAAATATACAATGTTTTTTCATTTCCTACTGCATATCAAAGTTATGTTTACACTATATTCTAGTCCATGAAATGTGCAATAGCATTATGTCCAAAAAACAAAATACATAACTGAATTTAAAAATGCGTTATGGCTGAAAAATGCTAAAAGTCATCTGAGCCTTCAGTGAGTCGTAACCTTTTTGCTGCTGGAGTCGTGACTGGTCAAGGTGGTGATTACTGAAGATTGAGGTGGCTGTGTCAATTTCTTAAAATAAGACAGCAATGAATTTTGCTGCATTAACTGGCTTTTCTTCTTCAATAATTTCTCTGTAGCATGAGATGGTGCTCTATAGCATTTTACCCACAGTAGAACCTCTTTCAAATTGAGAGTTAATCCTCTCAAACCCTGGGGCTGCTTTATCAACTAAGTTTATGGAATATTCAAAATCGTTTGCTGTCATTTCAACAATGTGCACAGCGTCTTCGCCAGGCACGGGCTCCATCTTAAGAAATGACTTTCTTTGCTCATCCATAAAAAGTAGCTCCTCAGCTGCTCAAGTTTTATTCTGGGATTACAGCAATTGAGTCACATCTTCAGGCTCCACTTCAAATTCTAGTTCTCCTGCTATTTCTGATACTTTATTTACTTCCTCCATTGAAGTATTGAGCCTGTCAAAATCATACATGAGGGTTGGCATCCACTTTGTTCAAACTCCTCTTAATGTTGGTGTTTTGACCTCCTCCCATGAATCATGAATGTGTTTAATGGCATCTAGAAGGGTGAATCCTTTCCAGAAGATTTTTAATTTACTTTGTCCAAATACATCAGAAGAAGTGCTGTCTATGGCAGCTATGGCCTTACAAAATATATTTCTTACATAATAAGACTTGAAAGTCAAAATGACCCCTTGATCCAAGGACTCCATGGTTAGCAGACATGAAAACAATATTTATCTCTTTGCATATTTCCATCAGAGCTCTTGAATGACCAGGTGCATTGTCAATAAATAGTAATATTTTGAATGGAATATTTTTGTCAACCGTCAGCTTAAAATATTCAGTAAACCATGATTTAAACAGTTGTGCTGTCATCTATTTATAGAGCACAGGTAGAGTAAATTTAGCATAATTCTTAAGGGCCATAAAATTTTCAGAAGGGTAAATGAGCATTGGTTTCAACTTAAAGTCATGAGCTGCATTAGCCCCTAATAAAAAGTTAGCTTGTTCTTTGAAACTTTGAAGCCAGGCTTGGGCTTTCCCTCTCTAGCTACAAAAGTCCTAGGTGACATCTTCTAACAACAGAAGGCTCTTTTGTCTAAACTGAGTAGAATCTGCCGTTTGGTGTAACCACCTTCAATTACCTTAGCTAGATCTTCTGTGTAACTTGCTGCAGCTTCTCCATCAGCACTCGCTGCTTCACCTTGCACTTTTATGTTATAGAGATGGCTTTAAAAAAACTCATAAATCAACCTCTTCTAACTTCCCATTTTTATTCTGCAACTTCCTCATCTCTATCAGCCTTCATAGAATTGAAGAGAGTTAGAGTATTGCTCTGGATGAGGCTTTGATTTAAGGAAATGCTGTGGCTGGTTTGGTCTTCTATCCAGATCACTCAAACTTTCTCCGTATCAGCAATAAGCCTATTTCACTTTGTTATCATTCATGTGTTCAGGAGAGCAGCACTTTCAATTTTCTTCAACAACTTTTCCTTTGCATTCATAACTTGGCTAAATGTTTGGTGCAAGAGGTGTAGCTTTCAGCCTATCTCAGGTTACTTACTTCTCAGTATACTTACTTCTTTCTAGCTTTTTTATTTAAAATGAGTAATGTATAACTCTGCTTCACTTGAACACTTAGAGGCCACTGTAGGGTTATTAATTGGCCTAATTTCTTTTTTTATATGTGGAAAAAGATCAAATTTATTATTTTTTTTAATTTTACTTTAAGTTCTGGAGTACATGTGCAGAACATGCAGGTTTGTTACATAGGTATACACGTGCCATGGTGATTTGCTGCACCCATCAACCTGTCATCTACATTAGGTATTTCTCCCAAAGCCACCCCTCCCCTAGCCCCCAACCCCGCTAACTGGCCTAATTTCAATATTAGTATGCTTCAGGAAATAGGGAGGCCCAAGGAGAGGGTGAGAGATGGAGGAATTTTAGGTCATTGGGGGCAGTCAGAACACACACAATATTAATTAAGATTACTGCTCATGTGGGTGCAATTCATGGAGGCCCAAAATAATTACAATAGTAACATGAAGGACCACTGATCACAGATCATCATAGCAGATATAATAGTAATGAAAGAGTTTGAATACTGTGAGAATCACCAGAATTTTACACAAACTGAGCACACACTACTGGAAAAATGGTGCTGATAGAATTGCTTAGTGCAGGATTGCTACAAACCTTCAACTTGTGAAAAAAGCAGTATCTGCAAAGCACAGTAAAGTGACATGCAACAAACTGATGTATGCAAGTATATATAATTTCATAGAGACTTATAAATATGTGCATATGGTCACTCGTGTTAGTTATGGTGTTCAAATAAATCCTCTACAGCTTCACTAACTCTTTGTTTGCTTTACTTACAAATAATTATTCAAAGAATGTTGAAACCTCCCACCATGATGATGCTTTTGTCCATTTTTTCTTATATTTATATCAGTTTTGCTTTATTTATTTTTAAAATATTTTAGATGCATGAAACTTGCAATAGTTCATATGGTCAACATGAGCTTTTGTCCCTAATAATGGATTTTGTAGTTAAATTTAATTTTTGTTTCATGGTAGTATCATTATGTCAGCTTGCTTTAGGTTGGTGTTACTGTAGTTTTGTTTTGTTTGTTTTGGTCTTTTAAATTGAATCCTTACATGTTCTTATATTTTAGTTCTGTTTTTTTTTAAACAACATATCGTTGGGTTTTGTTCTTGTTTTATTTCACTAATTTTATTTTATTTTTCTTTCCCATGCTGTTGTTTTGTTTGCATTTTAGAACCTTAGAGAGCTCCACTTCTTCCTCCCAGCTCTGCAATGCAATAATGCGTGTGTTTTATTTATGCTCCAGTTGCAACCAGTCTTCCACCTGCTCCTCAAAAACGTTTTGTTTTGCTTTGTTTTCATATTACATGTGCCTCTCTGGGGAGGATGCTTTCTATCCACAATCTCCCATCCCCTTAGACTGAGGTTATGTAGGGTTAGTTTCCTGGCCATTGATGTTTGTTTTCACGTATTGAAACCACATAATCATATTCCCCACCTATGCAGTGCAAGGCATAAGGCAAAACCAAACATTCTACTTAGAGATGATGTCATTAGGTGTCTAAGAAATTTTCTTATCCTGTCTATATAACATACTCCTGTCTCTAATTAGCACAATACATCTTGACATTAGTAAGCTTCTTAAGTACCAAGATAGTTTCTTGTTAGTGGGGTGCCTTCTTTTTGTGCTGTTGCAGAACATGTCTTTTTTCTGTAATGTATTATTATAGTTCAGAGGAGATTAATCACATATATATTAAAATATATATGTAATTTTATATTATGTACATTATCTAAAGATTTTATATCCTCCATGAAATTTTGTTTAAAATGACACAATACTCCATAGAGTTATATATAGAAATATATAAAGACATATTTAAATTCCTCTCCAGACTTCGACAAAGGGTTGCAAGCAAATTTATTTACAGTGAAATGACAATCCAATTCACATATGCGCTATCACCATATTTTAGATTTTGGGAAAAACAATCTCATTAGAAAATATGTTCCTCATTGTTCTATTCTAGCTGAACTAGGATTTCCAAAAAGGAAACAGCAAAGGAAGTCACTTCAAGCAGTAAAATAAGCAGAGTTTAAGATCGGGAATAAATAATTCATGCAAAAAGAAATGCAAGATTTCCATTTTATCTTGCTTCTACATATATTGGAAAGGTTCAATCCAGATCTGATGTACTAATGCAAGCTTAAACCTTTTATCACCTGATATATTTTTTAGTTCTCTTACTAATCCACATAAAATTACTAAATTTGGCACTCTGGATATTTATGATTTTAAACAGACTCTAACTAAAAGCACAATCCTGTTAAGATAGAATGTGTTATGTACAAGTTATCCTTCTCCACCAGTATATAATTTTAGAAACAGTGGATTTTCCAGGAACCCCTTTTCACCCATGAATAGGTCTTTGAATGGAATTTTACCATATTGGGACCCTATAACAATTTGTTTTAGGAAAGTATCAAGAAACAAGGCCTAATCTCTGTAGAAATCTTTTGAGGCTAATGATAAGATTCCCGCTAGGATGGGCCAGACTATAAACCATGCTGTGATTTCATATATTTTCATATGTGACCTTATATTGTTATTTTTGTAAAGAAAAATGAGTGTAGGCTTATTTTAGAAATGTCTATTAATTTTCTGAAGAGAGAGACAATATCAAAAAGATCAACGTATCTACCTCTGTGAAAAAAACCCTGTATTTTGTCCTTCAAGAAGAATTTGCTCTTCATTGGATATATCAAAGGCAAGTCAAAATAAAATAAGCAATTAAATGAAACATCAGAGAAGCAAACACAAACCAAGATATTTATTCTTCCACACATATCCACCTATGCCGGGCTTTTTATTCCCTTAACATCTGTTCAGCACAAGAAATATGGCTACATTTCCTTAACATCAGACAACCCATGACAGTGGTACAATGGGACCAACCAATGGTTCTCTGGCATAGGCTTACAGCTAACGTTCAAACATACCCTATGATGACGGTGCAAAAGACAACAGTACAAGACAAATCACACAAATAGTGAAGCACATCGAAAGAGTTTAACTGTCATGTTATGAAAGTTATAAAATAGTTTCTTCTTGCTGTTATAAAGGCACTCATGGCTAACCAATAGAAAAAGAAAAATACAGAAAATTATCAGAGGAAGATAATCATTTCTATACTCAACAGCGATCTATGTTAAAACTTGGTTGTAATTCTTTCCAGATTTTTCACTCTTCCTATTTTTCATTGTATGTACATTACCCCTGGGCCACAAAATCCATTGTCAATGGTCAAGCCAGAGGTAGAAGTCCTTTAGTATTTCCAAAATTTACGATACTAAATTACTAAATTCAATTCACCTTTCATTCGCGTAGAGTGCATCTTTAGGTGTTTTTTCCAAAATCAACACTCAAACTCCGTATTTTAGCATACATAGCACTCTGGAGCCAGAAAGCCTGTATTTAGTGCCAGTTCCTTCATGCATTAGCAGGGTGGCCTTGGTTCTTTAACTTTTCTTGGAATTGAACTCATTGATTAAATTAGTATAAAAATAATACTTACATGTAGTATTAAACAAGTCAATGCTACATGTGAACGTTTTAGAACAGAGACTAATGAATACTGAGCTCTAAGTACTGTTTTCGTTTTTGCGTTAGGATGATTATAGCTCTCGTTTTATTACTTTTAGTTAGTTTTAAGCATGCATGTGTAAAAGCCTCTGATCATGACCCATTTCTCTGCCATTGAAACTGAACTGGCTGGGCACAGTGGCTCACACCTGTAATCCCAACACTTTGAGAGGCCGAGGTGGGTGGATCTCAAGGTCAGCCATTCCAGACCAGTCTGGCCACCATAATGAAACCCTGTCTCTACTAAAAATACAAAAATTAGCTGGGTGTGGTGGCATGTGCCTGTAGTCCCAGCTACTCGGGAGGCTGAGGTGGGAGAATCACTTGAACATGGGAGGCAGAGGTTGCAGTGAGCTAATATCACACCATTGCACTCCAGCCTGGGTGACAAAGTGAGACTCCGTCTCAAAAAAAAAAAAAAAAAGAAAAGAAAAGAAAAGAAAGAAAGTGAACCTGCTCCATAGTATACCTTCATACTTTATATTTCATAGATGACATTTGAGGAAGCTTAATTTATAGTTTTCAATTTTTTAGGAATAACAGATTATCTGTTTTTAGTGTTTAAATAATTTGTATATACATATACATATATATTTATTTATTTAATCCCTAGGTGTACAGTTCTTTATCCCTGTTATTCAACATTTCACCAGTATGCATGGATAGATGTATCTTTTATTTTTTCATCTTTTTTTGCCAAATTCACAAAAGGTTGTCTTTACATATTAATCTTTTTCAACCTAAAAAAGTTTTCTTTAATTATTTAATTGATAATTGATTTTCTCAATTGATTTTTAATATTTTTCATTCCAAGAGTTTCATAGAAACTGTGCAATTCCTGGACTGAGTGTTTCCTCTCTCCTTTTTCTCTCACAGTGTTATATCCCTGTAGTATTTGTTTACCATCTTCAGTACTCTATCCTCAAGTTTGTTTTCCTATGTCACAGATTTGTTTGTCCACCGTATCAATGAATTTTTTTAATGCCACCAAGGTAATTTTTAGGTTTTCTATTGTATGTCAAAATACCTTATCACCACATTTTATCTTAGATATGAGAAGGAAAGATATTAATTCAGGAAGCTGCCCCTGAAAGACAGCACCTAGGCCAAGCCTTGGGCTCACCTAACAAACACCCTCCACTGCCAGTGGGTTCTCACCATGTGTCCAGAGGACTCAAGAGGCAAGACGGTCCAAACTCCTTTCCATCTCACGTAGGAAATGGTGCATTTTTTCCCTTCTCTCTTTCTTTCTTTAAGTGCCTCGGGCTACATCTATACTTGATGGAAAGAACTGCACATTACTCAAAGATTGTAAACTTAGAACTGGAAAACCACCTCATCTCCTTTTTAGAGGAAATGGGTGAATCTTAGGAAGATAAAAGTATTTGTTTCTATGGAATATGAAGGAAGAAATATATGTGTTAAAAGGGAGCCAGGATCATTGGGCTATGGGAGATGTTTGCATATGAGTCAACAGGAATCCATTTGCTGGGCTTTGCTAATAGGTGGTTTTCATTTAGAAAGCCCACCCAACCCCAACCTCAGTCAATATGATTGTGGTGAACCTAAGGAAAGTAAGTCACTCAAGCTTGGTGAATTAGATTCCCCTAGCCCCTAGGCCACAGTGATTGGTTCACAGCTGCATACATTATCATTTCAGAGATTAAAAGTCATCATGAGAATTTTGCTGAACTCTCTGAAACAGTGGCAAATTGCATCTCTGTATGGATGGGAAGCTAACAAGTGAAACTAAGGACTACTGCTGCCGTCTTGCTAGATCATGGAGACTGAATTTGAAATTACCATGGAAGAAAGAGTTCTGAATGCCTCATTTAAGCCATGAATTCAATTGTATTTGAACCTACCCTAACCCAAGTGTACTCAGCACATGAAACAATCAATCTTCTATTTCTTCAGCCAGTCCTGATTATATTGGCTCTCTTTTACATGAAGAATCTTAAAAAAAGTGCTCAGCTTAGGCTTTGACAAGAAAAATATAAACATAGAAATGAATAAAAGTATAAATATTTTTCAGATTGAGAGTGATAAGGAAAAGTGCCCCTCCATCTTTTGTAGAAGTCCCTTATTTGCGGTTACTCTAGCATATATTATCCTTGAATGTTCCACATCCCCCCACACTGCTTAAGCATTTTATGCGTTTTATGTGGGGCTACAAATAGCAATAGGCTCTGGCAAGAACAGAAGTCAAAGGAACATTAGTGTGTGAATAGCAAATAACAGAGGCATAACCAGTGGAGAAGGCTTGTGGACAAGCATGTATATATTGACTGTTACAGCCAAGAGGCCTTCTGGGAAATATACCTTGGTTGTGAGGGAGATCTGGCTAAAATATTCTTCACCCCATTGACACTAATCTAGATTATTTGTACACTAATACACACGATCACCTTTTTTGGTCTTTTCTCTATTCTCTGCTCCTTTTTAGAAAAAGGCTTACATTAATCAAAGTTCTGTCAAACCCCTAAAATCAGATTGGTTATTATTTTAGGTTTT
Source organism: Homo sapiens (assembly GCF_000001405.40). Taxonomy (NCBI): domain Eukaryota; kingdom Metazoa; phylum Chordata; class Mammalia; order Primates; family Hominidae; genus Homo; species Homo sapiens. The sequence goes on from NC_000010.11 coordinate 9,892,385, forward strand.
ACTTCAGTAAAAGTTAATATAAATATAGAGCTTATATAATTTTCTTTTTTAATTTAAATAATAAAAATAATACATTGGTGAACCAAAGGGGAAAAAATGTATTTATATTAGCTGGGACTGCCATAACAAAATACCATAGAATGAGTGGTTTAAACAGAAATTTATTTCTTATAGTTCTGGAGGCTGGGAAGCACAAGATCAAAGTGCCAATCATTTGGGCTCCTGAGGAGGGCTCTCTTCCTGGCTTGCAGATGGTGGCCTTCTTGCTCTGTCCTCACATGGTCTTTCCTTGGTATGTGTGAGTGGAAACAAAGAATAAAAAGCTCTCTGGTGTCTCTTCTTTTAAGGGCACTAATCCCATCATGAGTGCCCCATCCTCAGGACTTCAACTAATCCTAATCGCCTCAATTTTCCCATCTTCAAATACCACCGTATTAGGGGTTAGGACTTCAACATATACATTTGAAGGAAACACAGACATTCAATCCATAACAGCATTAAAATCATGTTTGATGAAAGACCCCAGACTTCTTTTAATGCTGAAGCAGAGGCAGAGATTCACAGATATGTTTGCTTAACCCACTCAGATAATGATCTTCCAGATCATCGTGAGATAATTCTCCAAATTACTGTAGGTATTTGAGTGATTCTAATGTTTAACTGTGAAACAATTGTTTTTTGAAACTGTGCCCAAGCTACTGGGTTCCCAGTCCCATTTTTTCAAATACTGTTTTTAGCTGTTTGCAGCCCTTCAATCCATAGACTTTCAGAGAATATATCTTGCCAGTAGTGTATTTGTCTAAGTATACTCAGCTACACAGGGCAGAAGTGTCAATCATGGAAGAGGAAACTGCTGAGATAATTTTTCCCAAAACTTTTCAAATATTTATTCCATGATTGGTTCACATATTATGCACCTATAACTTCAAAAATCCCCGAATATGTTTCATTTAGACATTCTTTGCGTTTGGATTTTTGAAGAACTGTTTGAAGTCCAGGATAAGAGAGAGTTTGAGAATTTTATCAGCTTTTAAAATATGCTCTTTCTCTCTCAAAAAAAATTTGCAAATGTTTTATGATGTACATGTACTATTTTACCCCTTGAACAACCAACCTGAACCATGCTGTCTCCCAAAGCTAATAAAGAGAATGTTGGAATCCTGAGGGCCAGTGATGAGAGAGGGGAAGAAGGCACAGTTCTCATTATACTATCCTCTGACTTACATTCCTTTCTCTTTAAAATAACTTAGCATCTGCTAGTGTGCAGACATAAACTAATTTTCAATAGAGTACACTGAGGAAAAACACATAATATTTTTCTCTCATAGCAGGATCAGATTGGCCTAAAGATAACAAATTTGCTTTTATGTAAATATTTTACAAAACCTTTTAACTTACACTCAATGGGCATTGAAAAAGTCCCTGACGCTTTTTTTTTTTTCATCTTTTGGCATTTAAAAAGTTTGAAATTGCATGAAATATATTTTTCTTTCTGTTTGTAAAAGCACATGTTCAGAAAGCATATTTCCTAATCAACATATGGACTACATCTTTTCTGATTAAGGGTAATAGAAATTTCCAAGTTCAAGTCATGCATGTTGAATCAAGAATGCTCGAGAAAAACCCTGAGAAATTCAGATTTTAAAAGGGCTTCTGCCTAATGTACCCATTCATTGCAAAATCGAACTTCATAGAAATTATTTTAATTGTATAAATTTGGCTAGACTTCCATGTAAACAGTTAAAGAGAAAAAGGTAAATTGGACATTTTCAAAGAAAAAAACTGCAAGATTTGATATTAATTAAATTTATATAAAATATATTTGCATAAGATAAAAAGTAAATATATTTTATATAAAAACTAATTGATGTAAAATATGAAAAGTATCAATCCATTGCATTTCTACAAGGGTACCTTTAAAAATATTATCGAAATTACTTCTCACATCAATACTCAATTTATAAGACTATTTTAAATTAGGATGAGAATAAACTTCACTCTAACATGCAGAGATAAATATTATATGGAATTATATTATATTTAAAGACCATCCCCCAAATATCCTGTTTGGGCAAAATGTTTTTGTGTGGTTTTAGAAATTTTCAACATAATGTAATTTCAAAATAATAAATTTTTAATCAAAAGGTTGATGGTCATCAACATACCATCAGATGAAATTTAATGTAAATGTCATGAGTAGCCTGAAATCTATCCATGTTCAAGGACAACATATCAAAAGATTCTTGAAATAATTTGATAAATGTGAACTTCTATTTGAGTGAAGATAGTCATTCTTATTCCAGGTCAGCCTTAGTCCTTGGTTACATACTTAGAAGAGATTATTCATAGAAGTTGAATCCAAATAACATCAACAAATGCCAGTTAAAAACTGAAAAATTCATATACTCCAAGAAGTCCTACCCACTAAACCCCAAATAAGACTTTTTCCTGTAATGGAATAGACTAGATCTATTGGTTATTTACCTATTGGGTTTTAGTTTAGTTTTCACTTTGACTTTTTAATAATGACTTTAAATAACAATGCCATTAATAAATTTCATGGTCTGCCACCCCCCACATAAGTACTTGGGTTCTTGCCTATCGATAAGAGTATTTATCAAGACAGTGAAAAAAATACTGTATTTTCTCTAACATACATATCTGTGTGAGAAGGTTAGTTGTTCCAACTTTCAGAATGTCATTCCTTCCAAGGACTCTGGGTTGAATAAGTGCATGTTTATGTGTGCATTTGTGAACATATGTGCACATGCCTATGTATGTCTACAAAAAACACACACACATAAACATATGTAAATGTATACATGGGTATCAATGTATACATACATATATGTATCTATATGTAGGTGTAATACACACTGTCAATTCTGGTCCTCTGGGAAACCTTTGCCTTGGTGGAATTGGCAATGCAAGAAATTCTTCGGGGTAAATAAACATCTATAAATAATAAAGGGAAGAAAAAGCAGGATTGGGCAAGAGAACCTTCACTCTGCAATGCTAGTGTGACATCAGAACAAAGAGAGGGAAGGACAGAGTGGAGAGGGTAAAATAATCTCAGACTATGTTGCAGTTCTGAGGATTTGTCAGCCAGGCTGATGGTGAGACCCAGAGTAAAGATGGCAAGAGTTCTGCATGGCTGAATCTACTATTCCTTCCATGCCCAGTCCCTGTGGGGATTGAGGCTTTGGCCCTAACCCTGTGGTGGTTTCTACAGGTGCAGCTGCTGGATGCTATCGCTAAGTACCCCCTTGCAGCTGGTCCTCTCCTGAAAGGACATTTGAGTCCTGCAAGCTCAAGGCTGCCATGCACATGCATATGTAAATGGACATATTTTAGGTTAGTCATTGCTCCGTCTTTCTGAAGTGAAGATTGATTATTTATGACTCTCCCAATTTTTTAATTTCTTCCCTGGGATTCTGAAATGATTACATGGATTTTCAAAGAGTGCTATACATTTTGAAGGGAGACACTAGGTATAGCTATAAATACCTCACATTCTTCAGCAATGTGTATAGAATAGAGATTGTTTTATTTAGTATATTGACCTATTTCCAAGTTGGCTGATAGTTACAACATTTCTTTTTCCAAATAGGGGGATTATTTTTGGAATCCTGTTTTATATGGCTGAATGTTGCTTGTATTCCACTGACCACCAGAAACACAAAGGTGCACTCTTGGGGGCCTGTGGTCAGAAAGGCTTAGATCACAGTTACAGATTTCAAAAATCCAAGTGACTTATTTGCAATTCAAATCTTCTCTCTAATTCTCTAGCTCCAAAGAGAGAGAAAGAGGGTATGGTGCAGAACCAGCATATAAATTTGTCTAGTGTGAGATCTAAGATATGCACAGCCCCTGTGGGATAGCTTTACATGAAGAGGCAGAAGGGAGCAGTATAAAAATTGTCTTTGTTATGGACTAAATCTTAGTGCTCCCCTCCACCAATGAATTCATATGCTGAAGCCCCAGTTCCCAATATTCTGGTATTTGAAGGTGGGACGTTTGCTAGGTAATTAGGTCTAAATGATTTCATGAGGGTGGGGCCCCCATGATGAGATTAGGGTCCTGATAGGAAGAGAAAGACACTGGATGGCCTGGCGGGGTGGCTCACACCTGTAATCCCAGCACTTTGGGAGGCTGAGCCTGGTGGATCATTTGAGGTCAAGAGCTCAAAACCAGCCTGGCCAACATGGTGAAACCCCGTCTCTACTAAAAATACAAAAATTAGCCGGGCATGGTGGTGGCTGCCTGTAATCCCAGCTACTCAGGAGGCTGAGGCAGGAAATTGCTTGAGGCCAGGAGGCGGAGGTCGCAGTGAGCAGAGATAGTGCCACTGCACTCCAGCCTGGGTGACAGAGCGAGACTCCGTCTCAAAAAAAAAAAAAAAAAAAGACACTGGAGCTGGCCTGCTGTCCACAAGATGAGGACACACTGAAAACGGCAGCTTTCTGCAAGCTACGAAGAGAACCCTCTCCAGAAACCAAATCAGTGGGCACCTTGATCATGGATTTCCAGCTTCCAGAACTGTGAAAAATCAGTATTTTTTATTAAGCCACCCAATCTATGTTATTTTCTTAAGGTAGCCCCAGCTGACTAATACCTTCCCCGCACCCCTGGCCCCATATGATAAAACAAGGGAGGGAATGAGAAATCAATCATTTCTGTTTGTGAGTGACTCACATCATCTCCTGCAGAAATGGAGATACATAAGTTTCCTAAGTCTGATACCCTGCCAGGAGTGGGAAAAAGCCCAGAGCAGAAAAATGTCATAGAACCCCAAGGCTTTGTAGACCAGTAACACCACCCGAATCTATAGCAATAGAAGATGGATAGACAATTTACCATCTAATTTACAAGGGAACAAAATTTACTTCTTACAGTTCTGGAGCCTGAGAAGTCCAAGGTCTAGAGGCATCTGTGCTAAGAGCCTTCTTGCTGGTAGGGACTCCCTGGACATCCCAAGGAAGCACAGGGTATCACACAGCAAGGGGGCTGAACATGCTGGTGTACTGGCTCAGGTCTCTCTTCTTTATATGAAGACAACAGTCCCACTCCCGTGATAACCCATTAATCCCCTGATTGACAAATAGATTAATCCATTCATGAGACAAAGCCCTCCTGACCCAATCACCTCTTAAAGGCTCTCCATACTGCCATATTGGGGATTCAATTTCCCCACGAGTTTTGGAGGGGACAAATATTCAAACCACAGCATGTAGCAAGCAGGCGCAGCATTGTTGAAATTCACTCAAGGCGGGGAACTTGGGGACTGCATTGGTCAACAGTGCTGAAAGCCCTGGCAATATGCATTGAGACTTCTCACCCAGTCTACTGAAAAAAAGGGGAGCCTGGCTATAATCCAAAGTTCCAGCAAGTGTAACTGGAGTGGGGAAAGTTTGCTGAGTTCATGGTTTTCTTGCCTACTTTGTGTTATTCACACATTTGCCATCATGCTTCCCCTGGCTGGTATCACACTTGTTTAAAACTCGAACTTCCCTGAACATGCACCATTGAGATTCCTTTTCCTGCCAAATTAACTGCAGAATTTCTCCTTAAATGTTATCAAAACCCCTGAAGTGAAAGATTAAATAATCATTCGGTAGATATTGTTAAAGACAAAGGGGGTCTTTAGGCATAAAGAAATTTTTTTACAGACTCTTTATGGGTTTAAATATTTTTTATATGTTTAAAGCTAAATATATTCTTAAAAAAATTAAAAGATGATGATACTTGGAGCTATGAGACCATCTTGTTTGTTTGTTTGTTTGTTTGTTTGTTTGTTTGTTTTTGAGACAAAGTCTCACTCTGTCTCCAGGCTGGAGTGCAGTGGCATGAGCTTGGTTCACTGCAACCTCTGCCTCCTGGATTCAAGTGATTCTCCTGCCTCAGACTCTTGAGTAGCTGGGATTACAGGTGTGCGCCACCACACCCAGCTAATTTTTGTATTTTTAGTAGAGACAGGGTTTCACCATGTTGGCCAGGATGGTCTTGATCTCATGACCTGGTGATCCACCCGCCTCGGCCTCCCAAAGTGCTGGGATTACAGGTGTGAGCCACCGTGACTGACCAAGACCATCTTTTTTATTTTGAATTGCAAAACTACAAAAACACAAATAAGTGATGACAGTTCATTACATGTTCAAAAGATAGAGCTCACAATTGTTAAAATTTCTTCTTTCTTCTGAAAATCAATATATTGACTGATGTTATTTCATACTGAAGAGAAAAGGATATTTATAAAACATCGTACAACAGTGTTTCAGGAACTTCAGAAAAAATAAAATAAAAATGAAAATTCCCAGCCTTGTTGTATGGTACTAAGAAATCTGAATCATTCCGATAAGCATCTGAATATCAAGTGCTTATTCCCACTGAACTTGTTGCAATTCACCACTCTCTTCTGCATGTGCGATGCAATGTGATTGTGCCTAGGGTGGATTTCTTTGAGCACTGAATAATTTCTTTGCACTCTAGTCTTCAGTGCTGATTAGTTCTTTCTACTTCGACTTGTTCATACAAAGGATGCCTTGACATAAAGAAAGCCTAGAAACACATAACAAAAAAAAAAAAAAGAAAAAAAGAAAAAAAAAAAAGAATTATGCAGTTAAAATAAAATTCCAGAGATTTTCATTATCACACCCTGTCTATACATAAACCCATATATAGTCCCAGGGAAGGGCTGATATATTTAACTATGTGAGTAAGATCTTTTTAATTAAAGTGAATGTAGCCTTTTGGTCTACAAAATAAACAATCTTACAATAGGAAAAATGCAATCTGTCGAGACATATTTGAGTTATTTTGCAGTAATTGGCTTGGCAACAGCTTCAGTCACAGATTTCTGTTTCACAGATTGCCCCCAAATGAATAAAGGTTTGCTTTGAAATGTAATTAATATTACGTTCAACTGTAAGACATTCTCAGGTTGTCAAAGGAATTTGAAGGAGGTAGCTACAAAAAGTGAACAAAATAAAAGTGAAACTGAAAAGTAAATTAAGTCAAATTAACATACACAAAGTAAACTGGACCAATACCAAATGCCCACGGCATGAACCACATTTTACCTTCAGTTCAATCTCCTCTCAATGTTGAAATTATGCAGGTGGCTAAGTAATTCACAAGGTATATGTTTATTGACAATGATTGCCTCATTTTATCATTTAATCATGAATGAGTGTGGGGAATGAAAATGCTATTCTATCCTCCCCTGACATGAAACAGATCTGCAACAGGGCTGCACTCTGGAAGTTCGGATCTCTGAATTCAATACTCATTAACCAGTATCACTTTCTTCACATTAATAATCAGTCACCTGCTTATAGTAGGTCATTAAATAAATAAATATTGAGTTATATGGGTGAAGTGCATCAATATTACATTAGTTTTTTTTACTTTTTATGTAGTTTTTATGTTTTTATTACAATGTATTTCCATCTTTTCTGCAAGTCCAACTGTTCTTTTTTTTTTTGGAGATGGAGTCTTGCTCTGTCACCCAGGCTGGAGCTCAGTGGCACGATCTCAGCTCACTGCAGCCTCCACCTCCTGGGTTCAAGCAATTTTCCTGCCTCAGCCTCCCGAGTAGCTGGGATTACAGGTGCACACCACCACAACCAGCTAAGTTTTGTATTTTTTAGTAGAGGTGGGGTTTCACCATGTTGACCAGGCTGGGATCGAACTCCTGACCTCAGGTGATCTGCCCACCTTGGCATCCCCAAGTGCTGGGATTACAGGCGTGAGCCACCACCCCGGGCCTGCAAGTCCAACTATTCTATTTCGGTAGGAGATATGGGCCCATAGGAAATACTGAGAACAAACAGAGAACATACTCACAGTTGGTTCCCCTCAATGGTGTCAAAACTACTCACTATATTTAAAACATCCAGGTCCATGATATCCCAGCAATCAAATATAAGTAGTATTAATTGCATACACTAGAGGAATCTTAAATGTATTTTCTCTCTCTTTTATTAGGAAATCAGTAAAGACATTTGTATTTATTAGTCCTTAAAGAGTTGACTATGGTAGTTAATATAAATTTAGAAAAAAAGTTATAATTTACAAATGAGAAAGTAGGGTTTATTAAAGAATAAACAATGATTTTTTTTTTTTTGCATCTGTCTTACCTGGCATTAGAGATGCAGTTTCTTGTAAGCCTTACAATATCTCTTAAAAATATAAAATTGCTTCACAAATCAACAGAAGGTTGGTGATTTTGCAGATGGGCATTTGTGTTGAATAATTATTTTACTCTATGTTCAAATATTCAGATTTTTTCTTATTCATGATTAACCTTGTCTTTTGGTGATGTTTATTGTTATTATTATGTGAACTTCAATTAGCTTCAACCTGTGATACTTGGAAAATTTGATAATCAACACAAAGAAGTTTGGGAAAGAAATTTTGAGGGGAAAGAAAAGGGAAAAGATTGGAAATGTGGCTTACTGTATATTCTAAATCTGGCTGAAAGACCAGCTTTTGAACAAGCTGTTATTTTCCACATGGGAGTAGCATTGCTACAGTAAAATGCCAGATTTCATCCATCATAATGTCATGGCTCATATTAAAATGTCTTCAGGGACCTAAGGGAGGGATGGGCAAAAGACATCAAATCAATTTTCAGGCAATTGCTATGGTTTTCAGAAACTAAGCCCTATGTGATAGTGTTATGACTACACAAAGGGAGGTTATAAATAAGGTCCATACATCAAGGGAGGAAGTAATTTAGAAAAAGAAAGCTGATTTGACTTTTGTGTGAGTCTGAACATATGGTTAGGGCACAGCTGGGTTATCATTCTATACATTCTTACAAGAGAAAAGAACCAAATCAACACTTTGGAGAAATGAACCTATCACCACAGTCTTGAACCTGAAACCCTCAAAACCATCTATCGTTCTTCATCAGTTGAGAAGGACTCAAGGTTATTTTGCATTTGTTTAAGGTAGTATTTAATCACAAGAAAATCCAGTCAAGTGTCATTATTTGATGACCTTGGTAGCTTCGAACTAATCTTTATATGAAGGTGTCTTTTCCATAGAACAGGAATTGGCTCAATTAAGAGAGATCTGTGATGTAGTCAGACTTTCATACGTGAAATTCCTTCTTCTTGATTGAGCAGTTCATTGTTAAATCTATAAGCTCTAAAGTGCTACAGCCTATATTTGCCACAGCTGCCTCTACTCTATAAAGAGCCAGTCTGTCTTCCAAGAAGTTAATCATCATGAAATGAGTCTTGGGTGTAAAAATTAGGAAGGGTAAGTGGGGAAGAACCTTGTGAAATTTCTGTGCATTTATTTGACTGGAGAAAAGAAGTTAATGATGTGACATGATCTTACCAGCAGAATAAAAATTAAAATCTAAATATTTGTTATATTTCCATATTCTATTGAGAGACTTTAATTATGGCAATATATAAGATAACTGTATATTCCTTATAAACTATAGAGTCACAACAAATCAGCATAGAGCATAAAATTACTTCCACCACTGTAATTAATATATTTACATTTCTTGCCATTTAATTTGAAGAAATATGTCTCTATAGCGGTACTAATCTTCACATGTTCTGTTCCTCAAATCATTATGTGTTGGAAGAAACTGTGTTTCAGTTTCCTGACCATCAAAGTACATTAGTGAACATTCCTACCCTAACTGAAGGGAAATCATATTTTAGAGGGTATATAACACCACATTAAACTATGGAAAACAAGGAATAAAAACATGATATGCTTTTAAAAACTATAACATGTGCAGAGATGGTTAATAAGGAGCTTAATTTTGGGGAGCAGCCAAACTACACAGATTAAGAAAATGAACTGTGTCAAAATTTTGCAATAAGCAGCTCAGTTGCAAATAGCTGTAATACTCAGCTACGCTAGGAAACAAAAGATATTTCTTTAGACTTTTTAGTTAGGCTGTATTCACATCCAAATCAGGAACTAGGAATCACAGACTCTGAGATGTCAAAATTAATCAAGGAAGTCCAAATAGTTTTGAGTCAATATAGATGTCTAGATTAATTGAGTATAAACAAGTTTCTATTATTTATCACAAAAATGAATGTTTGATGCACCATTAACACTAAAGTAGTTTTTGCTTTGTTTAATTATGGAGTCATTTGTGATTCTTTTTTTTATTTTAGTAGATTGATGCAATATAATTTTAGTCTTGTGCTCAACAGAATAGATTTATTTGAAATGCATTTTTGTGTATATATTTAGTAGCAAATGCAGTACACTGAGTTAAGTACACTTGAGCCCAGTTATTAATTTATGAAGAAGAGGGTTGGGAAAGAACAGAGCTATTTTACAGAAACTCTTGATAAAATCCTCTGGAAGAAAATCAACCAAGGATCCAACTATTTGGTTTACCATTTTATTAATATATCTATTCTAGGTTTTCTATGGGCAGCAGGAAACCTGTGAACTGCTGGAGTTACCACCATTTTACGCATTAACTTTCGGTGCAAGATACTATAACAAGTGCTGAGGCAACCAATAAGAATAATGAGTATTATTATTATTAATTATTACTGCTAAAGTTTATTGAGTATCCCAAGCACTGTGCAGCCCACATTCAGTGAATATTTGTAACAACACTTTGAGTTAGTAACTATGATTATCTCCATTTCACAGAAGGGGAAAGTACGATTTTGAGAGCTTAAAGGACATGGCTCAATTTTACGAAAGTAGTAAGTGTGAGAGTGAATCCAGGATTCTTTGACTCTGAAATGGCTGGCAGTCCCAGCTCCTAAAGAGCCATAGCTAATGAGATCAGGGTTATAAAAGGAATATATAACTCAAATTGGAACATCTTGGAAGTCATAGAGAAAAAAATTGAACAATTGAAGGCTAATCATGACCTTGTGAGGAAGTTCCCATTACACTGTTACTGACATATCTTTGAGAAAACCCCACAGATCTTTCTAAGTTTCTATTTGATATGTGGAAATGTTTCTTCCATCCCTTCGTCATTGAAAAGAATGTTGACTCTTCGGCTAAAATCTCATTGAATGCCTTTCTTATTTATTTATGTATTTGTTTTGAGGTGGAGTTTTTCTCTTGTTGCCCAAGCTGGAGTGCAGTGGCGAGATCTCAGCTCACTGCAACCTCCACCTCCTCCTAGGTTCAAGTGATTCTCCTGCCTCCACCTCCCAAGTAGCTGGGATTAGAGGTGCCTGCCACCATGCCTGGCTAATTTTTTCTAATTTTTAGTAGAGAGGGAGTTACATCATGTTGTCCAGACTGGTCTCGAACTCCAGACCTCAGGTGATTCACCCACCTTGGCCTCCCAAAGTGCTGAGATTACAGGCGTGAGCCACCACCCCAGGCCTGCAAGTCCAACTATTCTATTTCAGTAGGAGATATGTGCCCATAGGAAATACTGAGAACAAATAGAGAACATAATCACAGTTTGTTCTCCTCAATGGTGTCAAATTACCCACTATAATTAAAACATCCAGGTCCATGATATCCCAGCAATCAAATACAAGTAGTATTAATAGCATACACTAGAGGAATCTTAGATGTATTTTCTCTCCCTTTTGATTCAGAAATCAGTATTAAGTGTCTTGGGGAGAAAGGTGTTTTATCTCTAAGAAAGGAGCAGTTTTACTCACTCTACTGAAGGTCTCTTACAAACTTTGATATGTTTTACAATTTAAACTTTTTAAGCTACCGAGAAGCATGAAAAAAAATATATATATGTATATATCTCACTTCCGTTTTTGCTAGGAAACTCAAAGAGTCTATTTTATTTTATATAGATGACCCTTTCCAGGAGTAGGATTATCCTAATGAGTGGTAAGTTACACATGGCTTAAAACTGGGGGATGATAGTCTCTCTTAGCTTCTTGGTTGATGTCTTCAAGGCTGACATTGGCAGGTTAAATTTACAGTTATTTTACAGTTAAAGTTACAGAAATGCAATTACATTTGGAAATCTCATTAGGGTTTGCATTTCATAATCACCACCTTCCTCTCCCCTTCAGAATCACACAAAGTCATTTTATTCTCCTTGGCTTGATGGCTCCACTGTCTTTGGTTCTCTCTGGCAGTACCTGCACCTTGGCCCCGCCCTTGGCAGCAGTCAGCTCTTACCCTTTGTTCTTTTAGGCAAGGTTATTTCAGTTCATCTTTGACTGCTGTGTGCCACTCTCTGCAGGCTCCTTCCCATCTAATTTTCCATTTGTTTCCTCTTCAAAGGCTTCTTCATTTTCACTGTTCCAGACTAGATTTGTCTGTTTGGAAAGATTTATTCTCCCCATCCCATTATTCTTATTATAATTTAGCATGCAAGACAGAGTGCAGCACTGGTACTTTTATAGTAGAACTCTTAAAGGCATGCACATGGATAAAAAAATGAGCAAACACACTTTAAAAATATGCAGGATTTCAGTCGTTTTAATTCTGAGCAGACAACTTTGATCCCGGCAACCCTTGGGATCAGAGAATTTTTTTATAGTGAGAATGGTTTCTTAATCCATTTACTTTCTACTCCTTCTAATGTTCCATCCCATATAATTCCTCTATTTTCATTGACCAAACCCTTTACTGCCACCTCATTCTTTTCAGTATCTGTAGTTGAAAGTATACAAATTTAGCTTGGATGAATGTTGAAGAATATGTTCAAAAAAAAACTTTAGAGATAGTTTTTCAAGAGTACATTATATGCCATGCACAAAATTGTAAGTTCCTACTAGAATATAAGCTCTGAGAGGGCAAAGATTTTTGTCTGATTTATTCACCTCTCTACTCTCAATTCATGGAATCTTGCCTCCCACATAGTAGTTGTGCAATAGAAAGTTCTATATTTATTTTTTGTTTTATTTTATTTTTTTGAGACAGTCTCTCTCTGTTGTCCAGGATGGAGTGCAGTGGTACAATCTCAGCTCACTACAACCTCTGCCTCCCAGGTTCAAGCAATTCTTGTGTCTCAGCCACCTGAGTAGCTGGGATTACAGGCATGTGCCATCACACCTGGCTAATTTTTGTATTTTTAGTAGAGATGGGATTTCACCATGTGGCCAGGCTGGTCTTGAACTCATGGCCTCAATTGATCCACCCACCTCCACATCCCAAAGTGCTGGGATTACAGGCATGAGCCACTGTGCCCGGCCAGAAATTTGTAAATGAATGAATCATTTTTCTTAATCACCTGCCTAACTGAAACCAAAGTATTGCACACATGAGTTTCAGTTTATTATGTCTCTCAAAATACCCCTAAGTAACTACTGCTTTATTTTAGGGGTAATAGAAATTAAACTAGTTATTTTCTGTGTATTATCTGTTTTCTATATTTAATTTATAGTCATATTAATAATGAACTGCAAATAAGGAACACTGAGCACATAGCACTTTTTCTTGGAGTTTGGTTAAATAGTAATTTATGTATATAAATGTAATAAATTTCATAACTTGATGTGTAAAATGTGCATACATACCATGGTTATTTACACACAAGGAAAGTGAGTGTGTTCACTTATTCCCTACCTTGCCTATGGCTGAGTGTGGAGGATAAAGAAATCTAATCAGGGAGACCACCTCTTCTTTACTATTCATAGCATTGACACATTCCTGTTATTTTAGAGCCCTCAAAAATGTACATACATACTTTTGCATTCACTGAATGGAAGTCAGTGGAGACTGGGAAGGAACATAGTCTTCATTACATGAAATTTTACATTCTTAGCAAAATTTTCAAAAGATATTCAGATACACTTGTTCTGTGAAGAATGAGAAAGTGAGCTAACAAGGAAGACAGAAGAAGACTGCATGGCAGTGGAGCAAGAGCAGTGGGCTGGAGGACCTCCCTGCAGGGTTGTGAGACTGCTCTAGTGGCCCCTCATTTACGACAAGTAGAGGACTTGGGGAGACCACAGGATTTCCTGAATTGCCTGAGTGTTACCAATGGAGATAATACCATTAACCCTGTCTATGCAAAAATCTGGCTCTTATAATTAGCCCTTCATTCTGAACTTGGAGGAGTTCATATGCTTAATAAACTTCATCTCCACAACACTGGTCTCCACTGGCGCAGCAAAACCTTGCTTAGGGGACCTTCAGGAAGGGTTTTATGACTCAATTCTACACTAAAAATTTGCCAGAATCCTGCAGGATGGGACTGAAAAAGCATGAAATCTTTCAAATATATGGAATTAATTTCTTATGAAATTTTCTGTTGTCAATATGTTGAGAATTTTTCCTTTTTAACAGTGTACAGTAAGTCTCTAAAAGAGTCAATGGTAACTATGTTTGGTAAGAAGGTGTATTTATTTATTTATTTGTTCTTTTGGAGGTGTATTTATTTTTACACTATGTGTGTCTTTTTTGAAAAGGCTCAACTAAAATGGTGGCTTAGGTTGAATAATATTTAAGAAAGTGGAAGTGAATTATATTAGGAAAAAAAAAATGCCCCTTTGTAATGAAAACAAATCCTCCTGACCTACTTATTTAAATTTAAATCCAAGACCCATTTATTAGTCTAGTGGTTCTCAACCCTGCTGCATGGAGCTCTTTAAAATTACTTATCTGCAGACCTCACCCCAGGCAAACTAAATTAGAATCTTAAGGTGTGGAGCCCATGTCACAGCATTTTTTAAAAAGCTCCTTGATGGTTCTAATGGGCAGCTTGGTTTGAAAACAATTGATCAGGCGTTTTCTAATCCATAACTTTCAAAGAAATAGTATTCCAGAAGTTTGTCTGTTGAGCAGTTGTTTACATTTGGGAATACATTTTTTCAAATGAACAATGTTATACATGGTGTTTAATTCCCCAGGCCTTTCCATAAAAGCTTAATTAAGCTCAATGTATCTGAAGCTTAGTACTCTGCTAATGGAATTATAGAACTTAATCACCATGTATAACAATGTTTCTGCAAAAGCAGACTCAGAATTCTAATGGGGAAGGGGAAGAATAGAAAAAGTACCACTGCCTACAGCCCAGCCAGAAATTGCTGCTCTCCTGTTCCCTCTATTGTCCCCGTGCCACCACCACCACACACGTGACTCTCCTCATAGTCATCTAGGGGGTTTGAGGGTCCCAAATAGCGTGCTCCTGATGCCTCTGCTTTTCCCTCACCAAGTAAAAATTAACCTGCCAGCTTTCATTCCACTGCTGCAACTATTGCTACTGGACAGGAGTCCCTTCCTTCTCTGGATGCAGACATAGCACCTAATTCCCTTGATGTGTACGGGGGATGGGTGGTGGGGGAGTTGTTTGTTTGTTTTCTACTCTAATCTTCCTTCTTGCTTTTTTTTTTTTTTTTTTTTTTTGAGACAGAGTCTCGCTCTGTCACCCAGGCTGGCTTGCAATGGTGTGATCTTGGCTCACTGCAACCTCCACCTCCCGGGTTCAAGTGATTCTCCTGTCTCAGCCTGCTGAGTAGCTGGGATTACAGGCACATGCCACCATGCCTGGATAATTTTTTGTATTTTAGTAGAGACTGGGTTTCACTGTGTTGCCCAGGCTGGTCTTGAACTCCTGAACTCAGGCGAAAATCTGCCCACCTCAGCCTCCCAAAGTACTAGGATTACAGGCATCAGCCACCGTGCCTGGCCCTTCTTGCCTTTTTTAAGTGATAGAGTTGTTTCCCACTAGCAATGCAAATCAGACAATGGATACAAATAATCATTTTTTCCTGTGCTCATTCCTCCCCATGAATTTTTTTCACTTCTGCCCTATAAGCACAAAGTCCATATGACTTATCTTCCAAAACAGGCCACTTTTAAAAAGTTAAAGTAGGGGCTAAATACTTGCTCTGGGACAATGGAAGTAAACCAGAACAACCCTCAGTGAAAAAGAATTTTTGTTCTCCCTAAAAATGGGCTTAGGACACACAAAGGATTGAGATAAGATTCATTAGCATTTTATTATACATTCTAAATGCTGGCAAGGGAATGTCAGCAAAAGCTTTCAAATAAAGAGGAGGAAGGTTGTAGAGGGGGTGGTATTTCTCTATTAGTCCATTCTCCCATTGCTGTGAAGAAAGACCTGAAACTGATGAATTTAGAAAGAAAAGAGATTTACATGGCTCATGGTTCTGGAGGCTTTACAGGAAGCATGGTGCTGACATCTGCTTGGCTTCTGGAGAGGCTTCAGGAAGCTTCCAATTATGGCAGAAGGCCAGCAGGGAGCAGCTGGCTCACATGGTGGGAGCAGGAGCCGGAGAGAGTGAGGGGGAAGGTGCCACACACTTTTAAACTACCAGATCTCCAAAGAACTCACTCACTATCACAGAGATAGTACCAAGGGGCATGGGGCTAAACTATATATGAGAAATTCACTTGCCATTATCCAGTCACCTTCTACCAGGTTCTACCTCCAACATTGAGGATTGCATTTCAATATGAGATTTGGGTGGGGACACACATCCAAATTACTAGTTACTATTATCAGTGATCTCTATACTGAGGGTAAAGAGGGAAAATAAAATAGGGAATAATCTCTTTATGTATTTTTCCCCTTGCCACCCAAGTCACCATACAGGCCCCACAGCCCTGGGTTGTACTGTCATTCTATCATGAGATGGAGTGGATAGGGAGGTTCAAGGGGACAGGGTGAGGAGTGGAGAAGATCTTACCTAAGGGTAGTGTGTTAGTGGAAACAAAATGCAGAAGAAAACATCCAGAGGAGTTATGAGACATGAAAAGAGAATTTTTATAGTCATGGAGCCGCTGAGAAATATTGTGGCTATCTTAGGGGAGGAGGGCATTCTTTTGTAGAGAATAAAACTGGGCGAGACCAATCAAATCGAGACCTGTTGATACAACCTGAATGTTCAGAAGTGAATACATAGAGTCTTGGAAAATTGAGAATTTTTTTATATTATTACCACTGTTCTTCATTCAAAAATACTAACATTTATTTAGCTGGGTTTCTGTTTCTTATTAACCAGATGTCTTCCCGTGTCCCCTCTTTCCTATTGTATGCATATGGTTGGCATCTAGTTAGTCCAGCCGCACTAACAGTATCTGGTGTCTCCAATTCGACTGGCAGAGAGTCCATCCCTACTTATGTGGACATCCGCTGGAGGACATTTCTATCCCTTTCTATGTAGCAAAGATGGGAAAAGGGAGCAAGGGAAATCAGTGTGTGAAATGTCAACCTCGTGGCATATTGATTTTTTGGATTTATTTATTTGTACCTCTGGGAATCTCACTCATATGACACTTGGCACAATTACTCATTCAACCTTATGTACTGGGATTTTGAATGTCTTCTGTTTTTGAGCCGCCTGGCAATATGTCCAATATGATTGATCTTGTCATTATTTTCTTTCACTTTGAATTTATGATCTAATGATCAATTTTGTGGCCGGTGAACATTTGAAATTGAGCTGATTCACTCTTCTTTTTTTCGGCCCCATTTTCCTCACGATACTCCCACTAAGACCTATGACAACAAAATCACATCTTTGGCCCGTGTAAAAAATTAATTATTAATATTAGAAATGACTATATTCTGTTATTTAATATGATTACACATAATCTGTCTTTAAAATTAAAAAAATATAATATTATGTTAATTTTATTAGATTTCTAATAAAAATATGTCAAATGACTACAAACATCTGAATTGGTAGAATGCATAAAAATAATTTCAAAATAATATTCAACTATTAAAAATAGCTATTAAGTAGTTATTATCTGATAGACACTTTAAACTTTTTGTAAATGTTTTATTTAATCTTCATGATTGATGGGGTTCAGGACATGAGGTTTGGATAATAATACTAAAATACACAACCTCAAACTCCATAATCCTAAATGTTGAAATCCCAAAGGATCAAAATCCCTAAAGTCTAAAATCCCTAACATCTAAAATCTCAAAAATCACAAGCACAGAATAGTTGCATCATGTTATGTGGAACTATTCCTTTGGTATTGCCTTTATTTATATAAATTAAGTATGGTTTAAAAAGATGCCTCTGGGTGCCAAGTTGACAAGGTGTAGACTTATGGACTTAATTTGAGGTGCCAACTTGACTGGATTAAGAAATGCCTAGAAACCTCATAAAACATCATTTAGGGTATCTGTGAGGGTGTGTATTAGTCAGAGTTCTCTAGAGGGACAGAACTAATAGGGTATCTGTATATATGAAAGGGAGTTTATTAAGGAGAATTGACTCACACAATCACAAGGTAACATCCCACCATAGGCTGTTTGCAAGTTGAGGAACAAGGAAGCCAGTGGCAGATCAGTCCAAGTCCCAAATCCTCAAAAGAAGGGAAGCCAACAGTGCAGCCTTCAGTTTGTGGCCAAAAGCCTGAGAGCCCCTGACAAACTACTGGTGTAAGGCCAAGAATCCAAAAGCTGAAGAACTTGGAGTCTGATGTTCGAGGGAGGAAGCATCCAGCATGGGAGAAAAATTAAGCCTGGAAGTCTGCTCTTCCATCTTCTCCTGCCTGCTTTATTCTAGCCTCACTGGCAGCTGATTAGATGGTGCCCACCTAGATTGAGGGTGGGTCTGCCTCTCCCAGTCCACTGACTCAAATGTTAATCTCATTTGGCAGCACCCTTACAGATACACCCAGGTAGGATACTTTGCATCCTTCAATCCAATCAAGTTGACACTCAATATTAACCATCACAGGGTGTTTCCAAGGGAGATCAGTGCATGAGTCCAAGTGGATTAAATGGGAAAGTATCCCCTCAATGTTGTTGGGTACCATCCTACTGGCTTGTGGCTGGGAGAGAACAAATACAGAAGGTGAACTTGTCTCTCTCTGAGAGGTGGGACAGACATTTCTTCTGCTAACTTGGACATCAGAACTCCAGGCTCACCACCCTTTGAACTCTAGGACTTGCACCAGGGGCCCACAGGGTCCTGCAGCTTTTGGCATCCCAGGGTCTCCAGCTTGTGGATGGCCTGTGGTGGGACTTCTCAGCCACTGTAATTTCATGAGCCAACTCCTTTAATAAATCCTCTCTCATATTTTTGTACACATAGTGATACAGGAGCTGGAAAGAAATTATTTGGGTAGCTCGTCAGGGTAAGAGAGTCCTTGGTAAGGTTTCCCTACTAACAAAAGCAGCACCCAAATAATTTCTTTTCTAACAAACAGCAGCCTGTAAAGTCAAGCTGCAGACATAGAAAAGCAAGCTGGAAGCTTGCATGGGTGAATGCCAGCAGCTAAGCCAATAGGAAGAGGCTACCTGGGCGCCAGGCATGTTCGAGGAGGCTTTATCTTCCCTTTTCTTTGTCAACCACAAAGAAACAGGCAACATGGTGCAGGCCAGGTAGAGAGTCTATTTGCATAATAAAAGATTAGGGTGGAGTGGCCAGCTTCTTCGAGCCCTATGTAAATGGAACACCTGGTTCGACGGATCTTTTGGGCCCCGTAAATCAGGCACCGCCTCCTCAAGCTCTTCTATAAAACCCCCTGCAATTCACCAGGGAACTGGAAGACCCACTAGAGAGCCCCTCTCTAGTGAGGGGCTCTAGTGAGGAGAGAGAGCCTGTCTCTTTTCTCTTGCCTATTAAATCTCCACTCTTTTTTTTCTTTTTGAGATGTAGTCTTGCACTGTCTCCCTGCCTGGTGTTGCAGCAGGGTGATCTTGGCTCACTGCAACTTCCGCCTCCTGGATTCAAGTGACTTTCCTGCCTCAGCCTCCTGAGTAGCTAGGATTACAGGCTCCTGCCACCACGCCCAGCTAATTTTTTGTATTTTTAGTAGAGACAGGGTTTCACTATGTTGGCCAGGCTGGTCTCAAACTCCTGACCTCATGATCCACCCACCTCAGCCTCCCAAAGTGCTGGGATTACAGGCGTGAGCCACTGCGCCCGGCCAAACCTCCAGTCTTAAACTCACTTCTTGTGTGTCTGTGTCCTCGATTTCCTTGGTGTGAGATGTCAAAGCTCAGTTATTTACCCCAGACAATGACACCACTTCAATAGCTTATTGGTTCTATCTTCCTAGAGATACTTGACTAAACTGGTATTGGGGAAATGTAATAGCATTCTTTCTTACTGTATTTCTTACAGCACAATGGAAGAGATCTGTGAAATTATTCTCCTGTAAGAAGGCTGTGATAAGTTAAGTGTACAAGGCTAGTTAATGGTGAGAAATAAAAGTTTAAAAATTAGTTATACCTGGTGCTGTGAAAACAGAATATCTCTTCATTGTGATGGCCTAGCAATAATCATACATTGAAATGGACAGCATATGCTTACAAAATTTGTAGATTGCAACCACTCTCCAAATACAAGTGCCTTGGGTGTTTTGAAGATCGTGGGAAGAGGAGAAAATACAGGTGAAAAACATAAGAAATCTCTCCTGCCAAATTATTTCATCACATACAACTTCTGACCCTCCACACACGGCACCATGTTTGCCTTCAAAAAACGCCTCCTCCAGAGAATAAAAATAATTAGACAAACTCAGTGATCTTCTGAACCAAAGACACTTGCTGATATTGAGGTTTCTTCAGGATTGCAAAACACGTTAAAGGGTGAACTCTTCTTGAGGAATTTGACTACCAAAGAAGATAAACTTCTTGTATTTACCACTAAAGCTAATGTTAAAAAACTAGCACATGCTGTCCGGGCACGGCGACTCACGCCTATTATCACAGCACTTTGGGAGGCCGAAGTGGACAGATTACCTGAGGTTAGGAGTTCGAGACCAGCCTGGACAATATGGTGCAACCCTGTCTCTATTAAAAATATAAAAAAAAAAAAAAAAAAAAAGCTGGGCATGGTGGCGGGTGCCTGTAATCCCAGCTACTCAGGAGGCTGAGGCAGGAGAATCACTTGAACCTGGGAGGCGAAGGCTGCAGTGAGTAGAGATCATGCCATTACACTCCAGCCTGGGTGACAGAGCAAGACTCCATCTCAAAAACAACAATGACAACAACAAAACAAAAACAAAAACAAAACTAGCATATGTTTCACTTTGCCTAATGGATTGGCACTTTCAAAACTATCCCCACTGTTTCTTCTCAACTATGTACAATTCATGACCTTAATGGATCAAAAAATCTTATAAATCTCCCCTCCTTTATGTATTAATGACTGGAAAAAGTGAAGCACTTTTTAAAAGCTTATTTGAAGGTTTGGTGGACTTTGCAGAAGAAAAATGGATTTTAATTGAACCTCTAAACCATAGTGATAGATTTGGAATCAAGTGAGATCAAGGCTTCACAAAGTGACTTTCAAGCTGTTACCAATAAAGTTTGCTTTTTCCATTCAACCCAATGCATTTAGTGGAAAATTCAGATGAGTGGATAGGCCACACTATACAGTAACAATGAAAACTTCAGTTTAAAAATGTGTCATTTGCCTGCTTTGGCATTGCTCTCAGCTGATGAAATTCCAGAAGTTTTAGTAAATTAGAAACAAATTTACCTGAAGAAGCTAGAAAAGTTACTGACTGGTTCAGAAATAACTATGTGCATGTCAGGATAAGAAGACATGATTATTTCTGCCAAATTTGTGGCCTCTATGTGAGTGCATGAAAAATGGATTTCCATGTGCCCAAATAGCATGAAAACATGGCAGAAAAAATGGTAACATGTAATAGGGAATGCTCACGTCCGTGTATCTCAAATTACAGAATTTCAGAATGAGCTGTGCCGTATAGAAAATGATGTGAACATATCCTCTGAGAAGAGCCATGCCCTAAAATTTAAAAAAGGAGATATTCATCATGATGCAAGAATTCAAATTTTATTAATGATCATCCAAGTCAGTCAGTACCTCTGTGCAATTAGTCATAGGCTAATCCCTGTAATACACTTATTCATATGTAACATTTTCTTTTTTCTTTTCTTTTTTCAGTGTTTTTAACAGTATTTTAATTGTCAGCATGAATTTTTACTCTGCATTTTATCTTCCTATCTTGTGTATTTCATGTCTGCATCATTTCTATTACTGGAGACACCAATTGTGTAGAGACTTTTAGGGAGTTCTAATTCGTTTTATGCATTTTTTTGCAAGTCTGACTCCATAAAAGTGCATTATCACAATGTTTACTTTGGGTGTAAGCGTTGTGCATGTATCTAAAAATGTTGAAACTTCCTCAATAAATACAGAGGTGTCCTTTTTGTACATCAGCATTTGTGAAAAATAAGATTTCTCAAGATCTCAACTTTTTGGATGACTGCATATGTGATGGTGATCTATCATGCTTTTTGATTGATCTCATCAAAAAACAGGTTGTTCCTCATGGTATTTTAGATCACCGCAGTTATAAAGTTGGGTGCACCCAACTACCAGCCATAGTGACATGTATTTATACATTTTCCTTTTTGGCCTATTTCTTTATGGATATGGTTAATCTGTTCATAACTGATATACTCATGTGACTGTCATTAGATCTGAGTGTTTATACATGCAAAAACTAGGTATGTTATTATCACCTCTTCTACTGTGCAAAGGGGCCTGTGTTTTTGTATGTTTCTCAAATAAATCTCCCTATAAAAGTACAAATATGTATGTTTTGAAGAATTTTGTATTATTCTTCCCAGAATTATATTTTCAGGATTTTGATCTTTCAGGATTTCAACCTTTGAGATTACAGCTCTAGTATTGCATCTTTGGGGATTATAATTGTCTCCTGTTCAAAAGTTCTATAGAATTGGTGAATATGGGAGGGTAAAAGAAGACCAGAGTAGCTGGAAATGAAAGAGGGAGAGCATGGGACTGGGACTGCACTTAGTAGGCTACGAATCAATAATTTCTCTTTAGCTAAGTGCAATCAAAAATCACTGTAGTAATTAAGGAGGGGCTGATTTAATGACATCTGTACAAACGAGTTGGAGATAAGGTGGAGCGGAAATAGTGAGGACATTTAAGAATCTATGATTGCAGTTCAGGTGAGACTTGTGGTTACGTAGACAAGGGAGAGGACAATGCTGGGAAGAGATGGACTCATTTGACAGACTGTCAGAAGAGAAAATAGATAGGACTTGTGCTACATTATTATTAGAGGTAAGGGTGATATTAAAAATGGCATCAATTATTGTGTCTTGCATAAGTTAATAGATAGCAGTTCCATTTAGAGATAGGAATCTTTGAAAGGGCACCAGGTCACAACCAGGTTGAAGTGGGTGATTCCATGAGTAATAATGTGTCTCATTTTAGATGTGTTGAGTTTGAGTTTGATTTGCTTTTTAAATAATCAAAGTACCACAGCCGCATTGTTGGACATATGATCTAAGCTTAAACAGAAGTTCTGAAATGAAGTTTATATCTATAAATATCATCTGTATATAGATAGAAATTAAAACTAATGATATAAAAGGTAACACTGCAAGATGGGAAATGAAATCAGAAAATGAGAGAGCCCAGTACTGTGGCTGGGAGCATGCAAGCATTTTACGTGGGTGGTGAAGGCAAAGCTTGACAGAGGTATAGAGAAAGAGTGCTCAAAATAGTAGGAGACAAGGACAGGAACATGTTGGTTTAGATAACCAACATAAGTAAGTGATTTTCAAGAGACAGTTCATAGTGTCAGTTGCTACTATGAAATCAGGTAAGATGAGGACCGAAGGTGACCTACCTGTTGAATAAGGTGGTATAAGTCAGGTAGAAGAAAGACTGAGACATCTGAAGAATAACCTGATATCTTTTATTCATAAACTTCTATAATTTGCTTTTCCATTTTACAATAAACTTGTGAAGATACTTCCATGTTGTTAAATACTTTTCTAGCAGAGTTCTACCATAGTTTATTAAATGCATTTCATATTGCTGGCCATTCCAACTTTTTTGCTACTATAAACAATCTTATAATGACCACCCCTGCAGCTATGTCTTTATGAATATGATTATGTCCCTGAGGCACATTTCTAGAAGTGTAATTGCTAGGTTAAAAGTTTTTCAATTTTTTTCTAAATATAGGGTTATATAATCACTGGAATGTTATTGCCAAATCAGTGCATGTCTAAGTTTGCACAGTCTACTAATGTTTCTTCCCTGAGGAACTAAGTAAGCCTAAGTGATTACCCACGTTTATTATCGTTTAGCCCATATACGCCTCTGAGATTGGTTTTAGTTGAACAACTGTATAAATCTTTAATCTCTGAAAACGATAAATTGCTAATATTTAGTTAGTACTTACTATGCATCACACATTCTTTTAAGAAAGTACATGAGGCCAGGTGCTGTGGCTCATGCCTGTAATCCCTACACTTTGGGAGGCCGAGGTGATCACCTGAGGTCAGGAGTTCAAGACCAGCCTGAGAAACCCTGTCTCTACTAAAAATACAAAAATTAGTCAGGCATGGTGGCAGGCACCTGTAATCCCAGCTACTCAGGAGGCTGATACAGGAGAATCGCCTGAACCCGGGAGGCAGAGGTTGCAGTGAGCCAAGATTGCGCCATTGCCCTCCAGCCTGGGTGACAAGAGCAAGACTCCACCTTAAAAAAAAAACAACATAATAGATAGATCATAATTTAATTCTGTTAAGAATCCTCTCTTTTCCTTTCATTATTTTTCTTTTGATATTAAATAAAGATAGAGTTAGACTGTTTTTGCTCAGTAGGTTGGGTAAATTCTCATGTTCAACTTCAAGCAAAGGTTCTAGCAGATATAAGCTCAAGTAATGGGGGCATCCTATGAGAATGGACTATGAAATGAATCAGTAGAAGGGAGTGTGTTTGTTCTATGGATCCCACAATCATATGACAAATGTACATATATCACCAGGTCATGGTAATACCCAAATATCAGGGGAAAGTTCATATAAAAATTTTTGCCAGTGTTTTTCCATATAAAATTCTTTCTGCTGTTCAAAATTATTGGAAAATGGAGATTGCAATTTCCACTATGAATGAGGAAGAGAAGAGGAGAAAGAGAAGGCAAAGAGGAGAAAGAAGAGAAGGAGGAGGAGACAAAGAAATTGAGGAAGGGGACTTGTTTTACTCTAAGTACATTAATTATAAAGAAAAATAAAATAAAATGGGTAAGGGATACAGCAACATTTTTTTCCAACAAGGAAAGATAGTTCAGAGTACGATAATTTCTTCTAAAGAATGTGTTTATTATCCCTGATGGAGGCCAAAGTTGAAAAGCAAGCAGATGGCTTTCAATTCTACACAGGATCCACACCTCTCCACATTGGTAGTTACAGTATTTAGGGAGAGGGTCTTTAGTGAATAAAGTAAATGAGATACTTGGATGGCATGGAGATACAGACTAATAGTTTTTTGCCAAGCACTTGAAAAACAGAAGATGTTTTAAATATATCCTGTCTAAAATAGAAATCAAAAAATTGTTTTAAATACCACCATAATAAATTAGACTCTAAAGTCTTTATGATAATTATAGCAAAAAGCTTCTGAGGTTAGTTGCTACAAGATATATCTAGTTGATTAGTAGTAAGGAGCAGTGCTTCAGGGCATGCATCTCATTGTGGTATTATCAAAACTGTCTCAACCACACATTCACATCTCTCTTCTTCTCAGGTTTCCAAGTCGGAAACGGAGTCCTGAATTTTGAAAAACTGCATAATTTGTTTTCTTAGCATCATGCAAGAACATGTTACTTTATTTGCTCTATATTTCTTTATTGATTATTTGTTTGGGTTCAGTGTGCTTTCCATAGTTGTTTTCCTTTATTGGAATTTCCGTGACACGTAGGAATCATCATATTTATGGGAATTTGAGGATGTCTGTCTCTTTGTTTTAATTTCTCTTTAAATTTTTTTTATTTCCAGAGTTTGAAGGGGAACGGGTGATGTTTGATTGCATGGAAAAGTGCTTTAGTGGTGATTTCTGAGATTTTGGCGCACCCATCACCTGAGCAGTGTACACTGTATCCAATGCATAGTAAATAGTGATAAATACAGGAAAATCCTACTTGGGAAGTCTTCTTTTTTCTATTTGTTTCTTTCTTAAATTTTTGTTTTAATAGTTTTGGGGGAACACTGATGTTTGATTGCATGGAAAAGTGCATCAGTGGTGATTTCTGCAATTTTGATGCACCCATCACCTGAGCAGCGTACGCTGAAACCATTGTGTAGTAAACAGTAAATGGTAAATACAGGAAACCACTACTTGGGGACCTCTTTGACTTGTCTGTAAAATGGAGGAATTTGATTATATTTTATCTAAGTTCCCTTCCAGCTTGAAAATAATACGATACTTATTGCTTTTTCTTTCTACCCTTTAAAAAAAAACTATTGCTTTTATTCACTTATGATATAAAAGTGTGGTGTATAGTTCCCAATCTAGAGTTTCAGCTTGTTCAGGCTCCATTTAGAGGTATTAAGGCCTGACTGATTTGCAATGTAATGGTATTCCAGGTATAACTCATTCAATCAATAACAGAAATTGAAAGGCAGTTTCTGAATCTTATATGTATATATGCACGTATATACTTCACACACTAATACTAACATTATGATGAAATGTGTGATTACTACACTTGTCCCATAACTCAAAATTGGCCTAATCACAATTTACATTACTTATTTATGTTGATACAGTTCTAAAGATATTTGACCTATATTTTGCATTTCCTTCAAAGGACAAATTCACTGAGGTTTATATTGCCATTCTCAGTATCAAATAAAAATAAATTGCTTGCCTTTCATCTGTACATTCATCTTGTGAACATTTGCAAGCAGAGAGACTTCCTTATATAGTGAATAGGGTTGGTTTTCTTCCTAATAACATTCTGTGAAACTGAATTTGGTTGCATAATTTCAAATACAGCAGAAATAAGATGAATCTTATCTTTCCTATTCTGAGAGAAGTAAAATTGTTAATCCTCTGTGCAACAGAGTTAAATGGAAATATTCAGACTGGGAGAAACTGTAATTCCAGTGGCTGGAAATACATTCATTCTGATTTCCTTCCTGGCTATGCTACTGACATTTTAAGTGACCTGAAGTAAATCATACATATGCATAATTTCCCTTTAGTAAGTGAATATTACTACTGAACCTCACAGAACTTTGTATAAGTTGTTAATTGTTGAGAGCCAAGTACATGAAGGCTGCTATAGAATTTTATTTGTCTTATAATCAGTTTTTAAAAAATCAGGAATTAGAAACAGACTATTTCACAGTACTGTTTTGTATAAACCATGGTTTTTCCTTACTGTTTCTTTCCTGCCACCTCAAGATTCTGCTCTATGGACCGTCTTAGAGCAAGACATTAGCAGTGAAAATGTTGTGAAAAATATAAGGTACACAATAAGTAAAAAACCTTAATATCATCCATTTCTAAATATGGTATAATTATAAAACAAAAGTTTATTATGGTTTCTAGAAATGAAATTAGTAATCTCGGGAGGGGTTCTCCGTCAAAGAAAGCTTCTAGTCACAATTTCTTCTTCAGAAAAAGCATGCTGTTGGAGATAACGGGAGGCATCACTTTTACAATAAATTTCTAGCCTTAAGTGTTCAACTTTGGTAAATCATAAAGGCTTTAGGACATGGCTTCACCAACTATTTAAGCTCAAATTCAAGGGCACTGGAATTTGTTTTTCCAAGTCAAGTCAGATGCACAAATAAGGAGAACATGAGAGGCCACAGAGGCAGTAGATATCCCAGTGATATGGTTTGGCTGTGTCCCCACCCAAATCTCATCTTGGGTTGTAGCTCCCATAATTCCCACGTATTGTGGGAGGGACCCAATGGGAGATAATTGAATCATGGGGGGCGGTTTCCCCCATACTGTTCTCATGGTAGTCAATAAGTTTTACAAGATCCCATAGTTTTAATTGGGAGTTTCCCTGCACAAGCTATCTTGCCTGCCACCATGTAAGACATGCCTTTGGTCTTCCTTTGCCTTCTGCCATGATTGTGAGGCCTCCCCAGCCATGTGGAACTGTGAGTCCATTAAACCTCTTTCCTTTATAAATTACACAGTCTTGAGGTGAGAACAGACTAGCACACCCAGTAACAGTCCCCTTGTCTGCATGTGTAATCTGTAGAATGGTGTCACTGTGTCATCTCTAGAAGAATAGTGACATTGAAGGCCTGTGTGTGGGCACTGTACTGGGTTTTCACCAAGTCCTGCACCTTCAGGAAAAAGCCCTTTTGTTACAAAATGAAACGGCTTATTTTTCTGTCCATATCCTATTAACCTCTCAGGAGTGCTTGATGTTTTTTTTTTTTTTTTTTGTCCCCTGGTCATGAAGCGCCAATTTCCTTGGCTTTTCTGACAACACAGTCTCCTGATTTTGCTCCTAACTCTACGACTGCTCCTTCTCAGGCCTTTTATCCTCTTTCTCCATGGATTATTTCTCTACAACCTCACACCCAAGGAATATACTAATATGCTGCTAACCCCAAAGACTAGGCAGCCAGTCCATTCCATTTATCCAGGCTTAGATCCACCCTACCAGCTGCCCATCCACTCTGATATCCTGCAGCCACCTCAAACTCAAGGTGTTCATTAATCTGGCCAAATTGCTCCTTTCTCCTGCCCTTCATCAATCATGAATTTATTCTTGCATTCAGTATCCAAGTGAACAGCCTCCCTTACCGCCTCACAACACAGGTGCCCTCCTTCTCCTTT
This sequence comes from Homo sapiens, assembly GCF_000001405.40. NCBI lineage: Eukaryota > Metazoa > Chordata > Mammalia > Primates > Hominidae > Homo > Homo sapiens. The sequence continues at coordinate 9,920,869 of NC_000010.11, forward strand.
ACCTCTTACCAATTCTACCAGTAGATCACAGACCACTGTCAACCCTTCCTCCTAAGTTTATCTGTAAAGCAGATCAAAGACAGAGCTCTGGAGCTCTTAGAACTTCCTGGTTTTAAATCCCAGCTTTTTGCCTTTTTGGAACTCCTGAGTTTGAGCTGATCTTCTCCTTAAACTTGCATTTCCTCATTTTTTACATAATAAAATAGTACTTATATTTATAGAATTTTGTATGTGTAACAAGACCCTACACGGAAAGCATTGAGTGTAGCACATACATGTGAGCTATTCTTATGACTAATTCCTGTTCTCCATCCTACCCCAGTCCTTCCCTCCATCTCCAGGCTTTTCTCATGGAGTCACTGTAACAGCTTTCCCATTGATCTCCTGTCTTGAGTCTCCTCCGAGATCCAACCTGTCCTCTCACTGCAGTCAAAGTGGTCCTTTCAAAAATGGAAAGATACTGTGCTCCTCCAAGCTTCCTACCCTTCAGTAACTTCTTTTTGGTTTTCAGATCCATGCAGCTCCTTACCATGGTGCACCAGACCCTTCAGCTCCTGGATCTTGCCTACCATTCCAGGTTCAACTCAGGTCACCTCCATTTTATTCTGCCTGCCTCTGCTGTACTGAAATTTCTGCTTCTAGAATTTGCCATGCTTTTTCTTCCCAAACATGCTATGTCAGGAACATTCTCTTTTCTTTCCTACTTACCCAGGCAAATCCTACACGTCCTTCCCCTTAGTTCTTTTTCCCTATTTTAATTAGGTGTCCTGCTGCATGTTCTCATAGTACCAGCATTTATTACAGCACTTATCTTGTGGTTATGGATTTTTTTTAAAACAATCTCTCTCTTGAGACTGTTCTGTTCAGCTTCTATCTCCTGTGACTAACCAATGTCTTACACGAAGCAGCATTCTCTTATGCAGAATAAATGGCCTCCAGGGGTAATACAACATGTTTTCAGGCTTGTTCCCTCCATGAGGCTTCCAAGATAGATTTTCCAAAGCTGGTCTCCCCAGAGACATACGTGGACGGGCTTCTAGGAATGTATGACCCTTATGCCCCTGTGATTTAAACATTATTTTTGTTATACTTATCCTCTTTGTTATTTATGCCATTTTTCTCTTTTGCCAGTGAGGAAACTAAGGGGAAGACAAAAAGTTGAGTGACTTTGAATCATTCATCTAAGTAGAAGACAGATGCCTTGCCTCTAGTTCATTAGCGAGGAGAGGAAAAACAAAAAGAAGCTTTAATACAGTAGGTACTAAGAACACCTCTGTCTTGAGCAGATTTAGACCTGCGTGGCTTATTTGGGTTTAGGGGTGGTGAAAGAAAGCAGCATTGACACCCACAGGGTCCTGTACTGAGAGTGGGAACAATGTTGCCAAAGGCAACAGCCTTTGCAAGTGACGAGGGAGGAAAGAGAAAACAGATCAGTGTCTTTAGCAATAACAACACATGTATAGCACAGCGCCGAGACAAGTGAGTCAGAAACACAAGTGTTTAAGAGGCGTATTCCTCAAGAGAATCCTTTTATATGCTTTAAATAATTCTTAAGTGTGAAATGCAAGTTATGCTTGAGCTGCATGTTAGGTATTTTTTCCCTAAAAACCCTCAGACTCCGTTTGAGGACAAACTCTGCATTTCTTATTACTTAACTAGAAGAGAATATTTTAGATATTCTTCAGCTCCGTTAAACATCAGCACTGACTAAAAAAGTGTATGCCTAGGTGGGTGTTGATCAATGGTGCTAAGAACACTTTGTGTGGGATTTTATGCTAATTACCCTTTATACCCTAACCCATGTCAATTTTAACAATCTAAATTAGCATTTTCTCCTAGGACTCAAGAATGTGAGAATTGTGAAATTGGCTCAGTAAGCTGAGTTAGCAGTGAGAAAATTGAGATGTTCTATATTTCCATATTAACATCTGCTGCTTGTTCAAAGCGTGATCCTTCCAAAATGATGAAGATATTGAAAGAAAAATGAACGGGGATAGGAGCGTTACTATACACTTTATATTTTTTAAAAAGTGCAATATTTGACATTGTCATCAACAGTTCCAGCTAATAATGCCTGGAATAATGGAGTTTTAGTACACAATGTTTGAGAAATTGAACATATTATTGTTGACAAATATTTTAGCTTCTCTGCTATTTGTGGCACTTACATAACAGAACAAACTGTCAAAGACAATCGGTTATGAAAAATATCAGGTTAAATCACAATAATAATTAACTTTTATTTTGTTTGTTTTTGAAATAGCTTAAGTAAGTAGCACAGGCATTTTCAGATGATGCTTTATAAAATAAAATACCAAAGTCAAACTCTTCAGGAGCAAGATTTATAGTAACCTTCTATCCCATAAACTAGAATGTGGACTTGGACATTTAAAAATCGGAAGCATATAAGCGTTAGTCGTAAACTGCATGGAGAAGTCTCTTTCCCCATTATCTTAATGGTCTCATCTAGATTTGTAAACTATCCAGTTTCTTGTTGTTATAACCTGAAGGACCTAAGATATATACAACAGTGTTAAGAGGACATGGTATTAGAAGCAAAACTGCTCAGCTTCAGAGGAGGATTCAGCTGCTACTAAGCCAAGGTCCAGCCAAGTGGTGGCTTGGCTGTGCAGATATTGTGGTGACACCTGAACCACATAATAAACAGTTCTCAGGTCACAGTTAATATAATATATGTATCCAAAATTATCTGAGTTGTTCCCTATATCCAAAACGTGTTCACTGCTGACAGGTTTTGAAATCTGGATTCAAGTTAATTTGGATTATTAGTTAGTTGTTCTAGTTTCCCCAGCATTCTGGGGATTACTCTAGTGGGGAGCAAGTCCTCTCTATCTCCCCAGTTTCCAGTGGTAGAAACAAATTTAGAGAGAATGGCTGCCTCACTAGAAACTGATCTAAGAGCTGTGCAAGAGACTGCAGAGAGGTTTGTGTGGGCTACTTTCTGCTCCTTGGAGTTTCCTGGAGGACCCACTGACTCAATGAGGAGTGGAAGGCCAGGCCCTGTGCATGAGGGTGGGTGACACTTTGGGCAGTGTTCAGGTGGGCTACACTCTGACATTCCCTCATTTTCCCTTGTCAACAAAATCACTTGCTGCTTCCCTCCTCTCCTAGGAATGTCCTTCCCGGTTGAAACTTCCTCTATTCTTTAAAATCACTTTCTTATTTCCCAGCAATATGTTCATAGCCCTGTGGATTTTACCACCATACAGTTACAATAGAAGTAATTTAGAGCATACCAAAACTTAATTCAAGACCAATTTTGAAGACTAAATGTGAGTGTGGCAGAGGGGAAAACAGCTAGAGTATTTTAGGAGCATCTCCATCTGTAATGATCATACTTGAGCATCACAAAATGTATTTAACACAGGCAACAGGTCCATTAGAGAAGATGGACCATTTTCACCCATCCCACAAACATGCATACTGCATTTAATTTTACTCCCAAAGGACAGCAGTCTTTTCAAACCAGAATAATCTGGATTCAAATCTAGTTTCTGCCACTTAATAGTTTCAAGAGCTGGAGCAGTTACTTAGTCCCTTTGGGTTTCACTCTCATCATCTGTAAAGCGGGCATAATGTTGTGAAGATTATGTCAAAGGTTGGGAATAATAATGAGAGACTCTGAAAACGCCTAGCCCCTGCCTGATGCAAGGGAGGTGCCCTGTGAGTTTGTTCTGTCCTGTGAGTTCCTTCTTTCACTGCCACGCTGACCTTTCCTTCCAGCCACAATTCTCAGCCCCTCCAACCAAATCTTTATGTTGCTCCTTATGGCTTCTTTATACTCCTCTTTTACTATACTGTGTCCATTTTTTAGCCACCTTATCTGCTCTGTGGGCTTCAACAAGGCTATTATGCCAATAATATGGTTTGGCTTTGTGGCCCCACAGAAATCTCACCTTGAATTGTAATAATCCTCAGGTGTCAAGGGTGGTGACAGGTGGAGATAATTGAATCATAGGAGCTGCTTCCTCCATACTGTTCTCGTGGTAGAGAATAAGTCTCACGAGAGCTGATGGTTTTATAAATGAGATTTCCTCTCGCAAGTTCTCTTGCTGGCCGCTGTGTGAGGTGTGCTTTTGCTTCTCCTTTGCCTTCCACCATGATTGTGAGGCCTCTCCAGCCATGTGGAACTGTGAGTCCATTAAACCTCTTTCCTTCATAAATTACCCAGTCTTGGGTATGTCTTTATTAGTGTGAGAACAGACTAATACAGCCAATGAGTTATAAATTGTATCTCTGGACCACATATTTTCCAATCAGTCTTGTCTTCTCTTTTCTTTTTTCTCTTCTCTTCTCATTTTATTTTATTTTTGAGACTGGTCTCACTCTGTCTTCCAGGCTGGAAAGCAGTGGTGAGATCATGGCTTACTGCAGCCTTGACCTCCCCAAGCTCAGGTTACCCTCCCACTTCAGCTTCCTGAGTGGCTGGGACTACAGGCATGTGCCACCATGCCAGGCTAATTTTTGTATTTTTTGTGGAGACAGGGTCTTGCTATATTGCTCAGGCTGGTTTCAAGTCCTTCATTTCTCTGAAGCCTCCTGGACATTGTACTAGATTTCCTTCAGGCATCCCCAACCCAAATATTTTAATATAAATGGTGTTTAATTCTGTCTTGATTTCCCATATAAAGAGACAAATCCCATTAATCACACCTCCTGAATGTCACTTGAATCCGTATTTCCTTCTTGACTGCCATTGCCATTGTCCTAATCCAGATGCCTCAGCCCTTCTGATTCCCTACAACAGCCTTCTAAAAGGCCTCCCTGATTCGAAGACTCACACGCTTGCGCACCCCACGCCATCTTGAGAATCCCATTCCAATCAGACTTACCTTTCTGTAAGGCAATCATAGCCCTATTACTCTTCTGGCTTAATTCATTAAAAAAGAAATCTTCATTAATTGGGATAGAATTCGATCTCCACTGCATGGCATCGAGGTTCCTTCACACTCACTCTCTGTTCTGCACCTTTAGCTCATTCTTTTTCCTTGGCCTGAAACATGCATTCTCCCCTGCTCAGCCTTTTGAATTCCTGTCTGTATTCAAAGACTCCACTCAGGTCCTTGAAACAGCTATTCTTGATCCTCCTGAGGTAGTATTGTGCTCCCTGGAATTTTGTACGTGCCATGATCACAGCATTTAGCCATTTGAAAGAGATTGGATGTAAACAAATCGTTGCAATCAATCTGATGAGAGCACTCTGAAAGCAATATTTGCTTCTGACTCATTTTACTTTCCCAGAACCTGTCACATAGTAGGGATTGGTGTTTGAATGAATGGAGGAATGAATGAATGAATGAATGAATGGAGGAATGAATGAATGAATGAATGAATGAATGAATGAATTCAGTTCCTTTCTATCCCGATCTTGGCAAACTAAATTGCATGTGCTCTCTTTCTACTTTTACTTATATGTTCAGGGGCTGCTAGGTATTCCAATAGTAATGAATTTGGCCCCTGTCCATTCTTTTATTAAAATAAAGCAGGCTTCCTGCCAAACCTGACTTTAATCTTAAAAATCTCTGTCTTCAGAATAAACTCTTGCCCTCTGTCCTAGCCAGAAAAACTTCAATCATCTTGCTTTTATTTTGAGGAAGAATTGCTCAATCATTTTTTATATATGAAGATTTCCAAACCCCCAGGAACTTATTAAAAATTAGATCATAGATTTAAAGGGGATTTGATAACAAAATCATTCCCTAATAAATATCAAAATATTACTTAATGCAGTTGTCCTAATTAGGCATCAAAAATTAAGTTTTTGTTAGATACACAACAGATTGATACCTGTACTGTGCTTAATGGTCTGAAAAGTGCAGTGGAATGACCAAATTTCTTAGTATGCCACATACATTTAATGAAGAAAAGTTGCACATCTCTGAACTACATTTTTTCATCATTTTTGTCTAATTTAAACTATATTCAGAACTGTACAAATGTTGCCATCATTTCTTTCATTGAAGCATTTACACATCTGCAGTTGAAGTTATTTCTTGCAAACTTGATCTTTATTAAATAGATCTGATTTATGTTCTGCAGGCTTAAGAAAGGTCAAATTAATTTCATCATCGTTTCACTTTCCACTGGCATCTGTTGTGCAGCATGGTACTGCTGTTATAAATAAGGCTTCCTCCTAAGGAACAACATGGTGTCTTAAATTATATCCAGTGCCACAAATGATTCCAACTCCAGTTCTAATCAGGCTCCATGGCTCTGGCATGTCACACAGGGCTCTTTTGAAATTTGTTCTAATATGTCGTATATTTCAAAGAATTGTGCATCAGAAGTTGACTTACAAGAGAAAAAAAACTAAAAAACAGCACAAAAATCATATATTACTCAGGACAAAGAAGAAATTGCAAGAATAAACTGGCTTTGAATATATGCATGAACATATGTTTAAGACTCATAGTTTTGTAGACTCTATCATTTTCAGTTGCCTGTATCTGCCTACTGTAACCCATCCGTTTTGCCCCAAATCAGTAAGAGCTCTTGCAAGCAAATAAAATGTCAAAATACTTTTCTTGGTGTGGTATGGCTGATATAAATATGAAGATCCTCAAACTTGAAGTACAAACGAAATCACCTCAAACTGTGTATCAAACTTTAAAAAGTTGTCCATCAACAAACTGCCAAAAAGAAAAAGGAGAATTAGCTTGACTTAATTCTGGAATTAGTTTTTCTATTGCAGATTTATTATTTTTGCATTATATTTTCCTACTGGTTATTTTATTAATGTAGATAAATTATTAATTTGGCCTTATTATTTTGAAGCAATTTCATCATCTTACAAAACTTTTATACTTTCTAATTCCTTTTTTAGGAGATTGCCTTGCATGTTTTCAGCATCAAGACATCCTTTGAACATGATGGCAAATTTGTCTATTTTTCTTCCAAACTTTTTAAATTCAATGCCCGAAATCACCAGAAATTATAGTGTAAAATACCAATCTTTGGTTCTAGCTCCCAAGTGTAAATAAAATGATATCAGTAAATATACTGAATACTTATTGCACTTGATAACTTTTTAAGGAATCACCTTAAGATAAACTACCCCTATTTTAATATGTAAATCTTCTTAAAATTAAGAATGGGTCTGGGCACAGTGGCTCACACTTGTAATCACAATGTTTGGGAGGCCAAGGTGGGAGGCCCCCTTGAGGCCTAGCTTGAGGCTAGGAGTTCACAGACCAGCCTGGGCAACATAGCAAGACCCCATCTTTACAAAAACATAAAACAATTAACTGGGCAAGGTGGCCTACACCTATAGTCCTAGCTACTCAGAAGGGTGGGGTAGGAGAAGCACTTGAGCCTGGGAGTTTGAGGCTGCAGTGAGTTATGATTGGGCCACTGCAGTCTAGCTTGGGTGACGGAGCAAGAAACTGTTTCTTAAAAAAAAAAAAGAATGATTTATGAATTTTAACAAGTGCCGTTCAACAGTTATTGTAACAGTATATTATTTTTCCTTTGACCAAAGACAATAGTGAATTATAGCTGTGTAAACTTATAAAATCAATAATGGGAGAGACAGGAGTCTGTATAGGGCAGAAGAGCTCCACAAAAGAGGGCTATCTTCCACCTGGAAAATCATAGTGATTATATAGGAAGGCCTTCTCTGAATAATTAATTGGATGCAATTTCTTGATCAGCAATTGAATTCCTCGTTTCATAAGTATCATAAGGTTAACTGCAAAATGGGCAGAAATGTTGGTGATTCATGGAATAAGTCCCAAGATGTGCTTGCCTAACCAAAGAATAACCAGAAGTAGACAAAGAAGTGGCAAAATCAAATGGGCAAATAACATACATTTGTTGGAGCACTAAGTAAGCATAAAGGTAACTTTCTACAACCATTAGAATACTGATGTCACTGCCGCCACCATCCCCCTTCACACAGGGACCACCTAGCAACATGGCTTTTAAAAAAGACTCATGAGAGAATTCATATTCATCATGAATTACTTCAACTGGAATGAAAGGGAAAATTATCGACTTTATGATTGGAAATTAACTGCAACATTAGCTAATTTGCCTGGACATGCTCCCAGCTACCCCGATTATTTCTCAAGTGGAGTAGAGGGAGACAAAAATAAAGGGAAAAAATCATGAATGCTTTGTACAATAAAAGTTGTGTTGACATGACATGTAGAACTCAGCGAGGATGTGTACATGACACCAGAAAGTATCCAGACTGCCAATATACACCATTTATGTACCATTGTAACTATACAATGAGCAGGAATTATGAGAATGAAATTAATTTCTGGAACATTGTGTTGACTCTTGAGGCAGGAATTGGAACGTAACCAGAAAAAAAGGCTCTTTAAGAATATGATGTGGCTTAAGAGTTGAATTAGTTTCCTAGAAAGAAACTTTGTCAAACTATTAGGTACTTTTAGCCATTCCCAATTATTTTCATGCCCAAGAAAAGCCACTATAAACCAGACAAGGTAATTTTCACTGCCACTTGGCCAAAGCCTCATATAATTTGCTGCAACTGCCTAAGCCTCCATTTCCTCCTAATAATGGGGCCTTAATCCTGCCCTTTGCAGGGACAGCGGAAGTTATTTATGATCCCTAAAGCACCACTTCAAAGACGATTCTAGAGAAATAAAAAACGTCGAAAAAGCACTTGCACACCACTTACCAGACCATGCGGGACTTCTTTACCAAACTGCACAAGATTCTGCAGCTTTGGGATAAGAGGATTTTTCAATCCATTTTTCGGTTCAACTTTGTCAGAAATGTACTTTTCTATTTATGCACATATTTAAACTGTCTAACATCATGCATCTGAAAAATGACAAAAATGTGGACAAACTTGGGAGGTAAATGAAGAATAATAGCATGGGTGTAACTTGGGAATCCCAATGCTAATAATGAATAAGATGTTGCCAGAAAATGCACGAGGAAATGATCGGAATCTCAGTCCACAAACTCAAGTCTTTTTTAAAAAAAGACATTACTTTTGTTATTTACTTTAAATAAAGCTAATATGACTCTGACAACATATCATACCATTTTCCAAGGACATCTTTTCTTAGATACTATTGTGGCTTACTCTCCCTATAAAAAGTCAGGCTGTAGGAAGCCAATATGGAGCCCATATATGGGGAAATGGATGAAATTTCCAGTTCACCATGCTTTCTGCCGACATTCATATTTTTTATTTTTTCAACAAATCATTTTAGAACCCATTAGCATATAGCATAGAACTTTAGATTGCAAATTTTCCTAGACAGTGAATCTAACTTCTGGCACCAAATAACTGGTTAACTTTAAGAGAGTCACTCAATTTCTCTTTTCTCAGTTTTAGTTCGGATGGCCCAAATGGCACATCATGAAACTTTATAAACAGCAATTGTGGTACACTGATGTCTTGTCAAGTGGAACACAGACTGGATTTCCTGGGACAGCTAGAAAAAAGCTCCCTGAAGATGCTAAGTTAGAGATGGACGCTGCATAAGGAGAGAGATGAAAGGCAAACCGTCTCAGACAGAGGGGAGAGAACATGACACAGCCTGAATGAAAAACAGGGATGCAAATAGGATGAGAGTGAGAGGGCCCCAGGGCGAGTGTGGAGAAGCAGGCGGGGATAGAAGTGAGAAGTTTTAAAATGGGGGTGACTTTGAACTGATTTAAATTAAGCAATAACATAGGCCGGACACAGTGGCTCACACCTGTAATCCCAGTACTTCAGGAGGCTGAGGTGGGAGGATCACTTGAGGCCAAGAGTTCAAGGCCACCCTGGGCAACACAGTGAGATCCCATCACCATACAAAATAAAAATACATTAGTGGACGTGGGAATGTGTGCCTGTGGTCCCAGCTACTCAGGGGCTGAGTCAGGAGGATGGTTTGAGTCCAGATGTTTGAGGCTATAGTGAGCTATGATTGTGCTACTGTACTCCAGCCTGGGTGACAGAGCAAGATCCTGTCTCTTAAAAACAAACAAAAACAAACAAAAAATCAGTCATATGTATTACATAGAAAAGACTGAAGGAAGGCCAGCATGGGAGAAGATAAGAAGCTACAGTAGAGGGCCGGGCGCGGTGGCTCACGCCTGTAATCCCAGCACTTTGGGAGGCCGAGGCGGGCGGATCACGAGGTCAGGAGATCGAGACCATCCCGGCTAAAACGGTGAAACCCCGTCTCTACTAAAAATACAAAAAATTAGCCGGGCGTAGTGGCGGGCGCCTGTAGTCCCAGCTACTTGGGAGGCTGAGGCAGGAGAATGGCGTGAACCCGGGAGGCGGAGCTTGCAGTGAGCCGAGATCCCGCCACTGCACTCCAGCCTGGGCGACAGAGCGAGACTCCTTTTCAAAAAAAAAAAAAAAAAAAAAAAAAAAAAAAAAAAAAGAAGCTACAGTAGAGAAGATAGAGAGTGGTTTGTCCAGGGCAGAAGAAGTGAAGATGGCAAAAGTGAACGGAAATGCATTGGACAGGGCAACAAGACAGGGCCACTTTCCAGGTGATTGGAGAGTGGCCAGTGTTGGCCTGAGGGGGGGAGTCCAGAATGACTCCTAGATTTTCATCATTGTTACTGAGCAGGTGGCAAAATTGGGAATACCAGGGGAAACATTTCTTTTGGAGGACAGGGAGCTGTTAAGAAAGCAAGTGTTCCATTGACAAAGCATCTTCATTGTCTATGCCCACAATGTAACCTTGGAGCTTGGTGTGCTCTTCTGAGGACTAGAACCCTGGAGAGCCTGGGGGTCCTGGGATTCCCTCTCTTTAGAGGATCTCAGAGTGGTTCTTCATTTCAGCCTTGTCAAGGAGTGAGGTCAGGTTTGCTAGACCTCACAGGTTAAGACCCACAGACCTCTCCCTATGTGAACAGGAGGCAGCTTCTTTCTTCTTCATACTTTGCTCAATTGTTTCTGTCTCCTTCCTCTACCTTACATGGCTCAAAGGGATTTTTGCAAAACAAAATCCAGGAAGTATTAGAGTAAATTTCTGCATTGGGCCCTGCTTCTTATCTCCTCCAAGCTATGGAGAAACTGTTTGACAGCACTGTTACCTCTTTACTTGGGAGAAAGGAAATAAGAAACATATGACTTATTTGTGAAAGGCCCATATGTGCATAGCAACCCACAAATGCTAAAGGAGCTGAGAAACCAATGAAGGAGGCAGACTAATCTAGTGTGTTGGTATTGGGTGATTTATGAAGAGAACTTACAGACAGAAGCATGGTCTTGGGTAGCTGTAAGACAGGTAGATTTCTGCACTGTTCCTTCCTACACTCAGGGCTTATCTACTGTAGGGAAAGGGTTTACGTGCTCCAGCAAGACAATGAAAGGCAACCTTCCAGAACAGGTAAGAATGCTATATGCATCATTGTCTATAATTTATGCAACAACATCAGTGTTACTCTGATCCATGTTCTTACCCTAGGGACAGTAAATAAAGTAGGAATCAGGAGGCATTCATGGGACTGGCGCTCATCAGAGGTTAACATGGTAGATTAGCACCCAAGATGAAGTTGCTTTTGTCTCCACAATGGCAAAAGTAAACATAGATTAATATCCAAAAATATTCAGCTCTGTTGAATATGAAAAGAAAGCATCTTTCATCTCCTGAACCCCTTTCTCTGTTAAATAATACCCCTTAGGGGATTTTACTCACAATTTGCCATCAGCTTTGGGCCTATGACACTTTATTTTCCCACTGAGGGCCCCTTAAAATATTTATTCATTCAATAATTCCAAGCTTACTATTGACTACCCACTCAATAGTAAGCTTGAATGTATTGGGATACTGTCTATCTATAATCCCTGTGTCCTGTGCTAAAGCCTTTATACATCCTCACATTTGATCTTCAACACCACCCTCATCTCCAGCCTTCACCTGTGATTAAAGAAACTCAGGAATTTAAATCAGCCATTCAAAATTATTAAATCAGATGTTCATAATTAAAATTATTGGGTTAGGCAGTGTACTTCCTGCATCACCCCCATTCTTATAATCGAGAGAAAGAAAATATTCAAATAGTGAGTGGCATAAGGGAAAGATACTTGGCATGAGTAGAGCATATCATCGAAGGATTTGTGCCTGTGTGAGATGTCAGGAGGGCTTCCCGGAGGAAGTGGCATATGTATTTTGCTAGTGGAAATCTTGACGATAAAGAGCTATTGACACACAAATATGAACAACGAAAACAATGGGATTTAAAGGAACTTGAATTTTACTCCACTTTTGTAGTCACCCTTAAATAATTCAAATAATTATACTATCATCAGGTGGCAGTCTAATTAAGTAGAACTGTGGCTTTATTCATAGGGCATGTGCCTTTGAACAGCTGGTTTAAATTTCCTGAGTTCCTTTACTTAGAGGTGGAGAGTGGAGATGAAGGTGAAGCTAGAAAATTAAATGGGATGATATAGAAAGGTTTTCAGCACAGGTCATAGGGATTATAGATACACAGTAAGTGGTAGTTCTCTTTCATCCTTCCCCACTTTGTAAACCTAGTTTTTTTTTTTTTTTTTTTTTTTTGAGACTGATTCTTGCTCTGTCACCCAGGCCAGAGTGCAGTGGTGTGATCTCTGCTCACTGAAACCTCCACCTCCTGGGTTCGAGCGATTCTCCTGCCTCAGCCTCCCGAGTAGCTGGGATTACAGGCAGCTGCCACTATGCCCAGCTAATTTTTATATTTTTAGTAGAGATGGGGTTTCACCGTGTTGGCCAGGCTGGTCTCAAACTCCTGACCTCAGGTGATCCACCCACCTCGGCCTCCCAAAGTGGTGGGATTACAGGCGTGAGCCATCGCGCCGGGCCAACCTAGTTCTCTATTTACTCTCTTGCAATCAACATGTACTAAACTCCTGCAAGACATTAATATCCATGAAGGCAGGATCTGTGTTTTCATTTCAGATTCATCAGCAGGGAGTTGTTGCTGGATTATGCACATCTGTTTAATAAATGTACTTGCATGGTTGGTTATTTATTCGCTTTAATAGACCAGGGGCAATTACCGCAACTGACCATGATGTGAAAAAACACATTTAAAAAAAGAGTATAACACTGATTCTTATTTCTAAGACACAGAAGATGGCAACAAATTGAAAGCTGACACGCGAAAAATGCCCAGGGTTTGACAAAACCTGTGGAAGTATGGTGACACACACCTAAATTGCCATATTTGTGTTTTTTGAAATCTTAGGCATATTTTATCTTGAGCTTGATTTAAACTGCTTCTTGACATAGTTACTGCTTCTATGATGTAATATGAGTCAGGCAGAATGACATTTCTGGGACTACTTTGTTTTCCACATTTAATTGATTTTTTTTTTTTTTTTTTTTTTTTTTTGGTTAGAGACTGAGTCTTGCTCTGTCGCCCAGGCTAGAAGGCAGTGGCGTGATCTCGACTCACTGCAACCTCCGCTTCCCAGGTTCTAGCAAGTCTCCTGCCTCAGCCTCCAGAATTGATTTTTTTTTTAATTTTAATTTCAATTTTTTTCTGAGACAGAGTCTCGCTCTGTCTCCCAGGCTGGAGTGCAATGGTGCAATCTCAGCTCACTGCAATCTCCACCTCCCGGTTTCAAGCAATTCTCCTGCCTCAGCCTCCTGAGTAGCTGGGATTACAGGCATGTGCCACCACACCCAGCTGATTTTGTATTTTTAGTAGAGACGGTGTTTCACCATCTTGGCCATGCTGGTCTCGAACTCCTGATCTCAGGTGATCCGCCAACCTTGGCCTCCCAAAGTGCTGGGATTACAGGCTTTAGCCACTGTGCCCGGCCACAATTAATTGATTTTTAAACATTCTCAGAAAACAAGACTCTTTTGAAATATCTCTATAAATGCTGCTGGCGACATTACGCTGTGTCCACTTTAGTGTTTGGTTGAACTTGTTTCTAGCCTTCCAAATCAGGTCCAATAAAAACATATTGGAGGAGAGAAATGGAATATCCCAACCAATGTTTACCATCCAGATCACTTTCAAAGAACAGCTCACGCTAGATAAATGTAAGACAAAACATTGTGCAGCCCCAACTGTTAAAATGATGGAAAACAAATCTCAAGGCATTAAAGGTGGCAGCTCAGAGGATGTCTTTAACCAGATACGTGTAACTTTATAAGTTTTGTGTAAAGTGTATTTGCTTATTTTCATAGATATGTGTTTTTAACTAGATTTTTATCCTTGTAGATTAGTCAAATGTTTCCTAAAATCGAACTGAAGCTTTCAATGCAGTGATCTGAGGCTCTTTTATGTTATTTTTCCTCGTGAGAAGATGGAGAAGAATTTGTCAGCATTCTCCATATACTGCTCCTCCAAACGAATGTGAAATCTCCATTCCTTTGGTTAAATACAGTTTAGGGATTCCATTTTGTATCTTTTCTTTAAAATGTTGTGGCTGTGCATGGTGGCTCATGCCTGTAATCCCAGCGCATTGAGAGACCAAAGCAGGAGCATGACTTAAGGCCAAGAGTTTGAGTCCAGCCTAGGCAACATAGCAAGACCCCATCTTTCTAAAAAAAAAAAAAAAAAAAAAATTAGCCAGGCATGGGGGTGCACACCTGTACTCCTAGCTACTTGGGAGGCACAGGTGGGAAGATCCTTTAAGCCCAGGAGTTGGAGGCTGCAGTGAGCCATGATGACCACTGCACTCTAGCCTGGCAGACATAGGGAGACTCTGTCTCAAAAAAATAATAAATTGAGGCCAGGCGCAGTGGCTCACGCCTGTAATCTCAGCACTTTGGGAGGCTGAGGTGGGCAGATCACAAGGTCAGGAGTTCGAGACCATTCTGGCTAACACGGTGAAACCCCGTCTCTACTAAAAATATAAAAAATTAGCTGGGCATGGTGGCATGTGCCTGTAATCCCCACCTACTCGGGAGGCTGAGGCAGGAGAATCTCTTGAACCTGGGAGCCCGAGGTTGCAGTGAGCCGAGATCGCACCACTGCACTCCAGCCTGGGCGGCAGAGAGAGACTCTGTCCCAAAATAATAATAATAATAATAATAAAGTAAAATGTGGAGGTTAAAACAAGGCAGACTATTTGAATGACATCTAGCCAATTCATAGTCATGTGAGAATGGATGTCCAGCCCTCTGGATCTACAGTTCCCAAGCACCTGCAAGCCTTGTATCATATCACTGCTCTGCCCAGTTATCTCCACAGGGAGTGTGTGCTTCCCAGGAAGTACACTAAGTAATTCATTTGGATGTGGGAAAATAAAAAGTAAAGTTCTTTTTAAAGAACATTTTAGCTGGGTACAGTAGCTCACACCTGTAATCCCAGCACTTTGGGAGGCGGAGGCAGGCGGATTACCAGGTAAGCAGATCCAGACCATCTTGGTCAACACGGTGAAACCATCTCTACTAAAAATACAAAAAATTAGCCGGGCGTGGTGGTGGGTGCCTGTAGTCCCAGCTACTAGGGAGGCTGAGGCAGGAGAATTGCTTGAACCCGGGAGGCTGAGGTTGCAGTGAACCGAGATCGCACCACAGCACTCTAGCCTGGGCAACAGAGCAAAACTCCATCTCAAAAAAGAAAAAAAAAAGACATTTTAAAATTAAGAAATAATTTTGTATCTATAGAAATGCGCTCATATTTAGTGTACAGTTTGATGAATTTTGACAAAAGTGTACACTTGTGTTACCCACACACCTCCCAAAGCACTGATTGTTTCTGTCATTCTAGAAAGCTCCCTTTTGCCCATTTCCAGCCAAATATACCCTTCCCCAGGCAGCCACTTTCTAACTTGTATTGCCCTAGATTTGTTTGGTCTGGATTCAAGCCTCAAATAAGGGGTATCATAGCCTCAGTGCTCTGTGTATCTTGCAGTTAATTTTTTTCACACAGCACAAATCTTTTGAGATCCATCCATCGCTGTTGTCGGAGATATCAAATGTTGCTCTTCCTGTTGCTGGATAGTATTCCACAATACATCACAACTTGATAATACATCTGTTATTGCCGTACTTGTGTTTAAGTCTACCATTTTGTTTGGTTTCAGTTTGTTCTGCTATTTGTTCCTGTGTTATCTCTTTCCTCACTTGTCATAGATGAAGTTTTACTGTTTGTTTTAATATTTTACTTTATGTACTCTTTTGAATTTTTAAAAATTTTGAAATAATTATAGATTCATGGGAAGTTGCAAAAGTAGTAAATGGATTCCCTGTAACAGTAACCTCGCTCCTCCCAATAAGAACATCTTTATGTAACTAGAATATGATATCAGATCCACAATGTCAACATTGGTACAATCCGCAGATCTTATCTGGATCTTACCAGTTTTATATGCACTTTGTGTGTGCACACGTGTGTGTGTGTAGTCTTCTGCAACTTTAGCACATGTGTACGTTCATGTAACCCATCACATTCAATAGAGAAATTGCTCCATTACCACAAAGATCCTCCATGATATCTGTTTACAACCAGACGTGTCTCCTTTTCCCCACATACCCAAGCCCTGACCATCACTACTGTGTCCTACATCTCAATAATTTTGCCCTTTCAAGAATGTTATATAAATTAAGTCGTTCAGTGGGTAATCTTTTGGGATTAGCTTTTTAAATTCAGAACAATTTCTTTATGATTCATTCAAATTTTTGTATTATTGCTAGCCAATTTTTTTTTTTTTAAATTTTTGAGTGATATTCTATTGCATGGATGTACCACAATTGTTTAAACTATTCACTCTTTGAAGGTCTTTGGACAGTTTTTAGCTTTTGGCTAATAGGCCACTTGTATATAGACATAAGTTTTATTTCTCTGTAATAAATGCCTAGGAGTGAAATTGTTGGGTTTCATGGAATGTATATGTGTAGTTAATTTTTTTAAAAAAACTGCTAAACTATTTTCCAAAGTAGCTGAGCCATTTTACATTCCTACCAGCAATGTATAAGAAATTAGATTTTTCATAGCTTTACTAGCATTTGGTAATGTAACTTAAAAAAATTTTTTTAGCTGTTCCAATAGTTGTGATACCTCATCGTGGTCTTAATTTGCATTTATCTAATGGCTAATTATGTTGAAGATATTTTCATGTGCTGAATTTACATTTAAATATCCTCTTTGGTAAAATGTCTGTTCATTTCACCTATTTTCTAATTGGACCTTTTAAATAATATCTTACTGTTGCATTTTGAAAGTTCTTTTATATATTTTAAGTATAAGTTATTTGTCAGATATGCAGTTAGCAAATGCTTAATTCTGTAGTTTGTAGTCTTTTTATTCTCATAACACACTATGTTCTAGAACTAAAGTTTTATTTTTGATTACATGTAGCTAATTGATTTAATTTATGCCTCATGGTTTTGGTGTCGTATTTAAGAACTCTTTACCAAACCTTAGGTCCCAAATATTTTCTCCTGTGTTTTCTTCTAAAGGTTTGATATTTTTAATGCTTTACATTTAAACATATAATCTATTTTGAGTTAATTTTTGTACAAGGTGGGAAGCTTAGATCCAGGCTTCCTTCCTCTGGCCCCCATGGATGTCCAGTTGTTCCAATACCATTTTTGGAAAACATTGTCCTCCTTCCACAAAATTGCTTGTGCACATTTGACAAATGTCAGTTGATTGATCATATCTGTGTCAGTCTGTTTATGGATTCTCTATTCTATTTCATTGCTCTATGGGTCTATCAGTTCCCCAGTACTACAATGTTTTGATTAATGTAACTATATACTAAGTTTTGACATCTGGTCAATTAATTCCTCTCACTTTCTTCTTTTTCCAAAATTGTTATAGTTATTCTAATTAGTAATTCTAATTACTAATCTAATTATTCTAATAACTAATTCTAATTAGTTCTAAATTTTTTCAAATAAGCTTGCCTATATCTAAAAAACAGCTTTACTGGAAATACAATAGGAATTGTATTAAACCAGTACGTAAGTATGGAATAGAATTGACGTATTATGTTGAGTTTTTTAATCCATGTATGTGTTATACCTCTTCAATTTTAAAAATAGAGACAGGGTCTCACTATGTTGGCCAGGTTGGCCTCAAACACCTACTTTCAAGCAATTATCCAATCTTGACCTTCCAAAGTGTTGGGATTACAGGTGTGAACTACTGTACCCAGCTCCATTTTTTTATGTTCTTTTATTTCTCCCACCATGTTTTGTAGTATTCAGCATACAGATTTTGTACATGTTTTGCTAGATTTATACCTAAACAGACATTTTTTAATATTTTCAAAGAACAGTTTTGTGTCTTAGTAATTTTCTCTGTTTTTCTGTTTTCTATGTCACTGATTTATACTCTAATATTTGTCATTTCTTTGTTTCTTCATGCTTTGTGTTTATTTTGCTCTTATTTTCTAGTTTCTAAAGATGGAAGCTTAGATTCATTTCTTAGAACATTTCTGTAATATAAGCATTTAATGCAATAAATTTCCCTTTCATTACTGCATTAGCTGCATCCCACAAATTTTTGTTATATTTTTATTTTTATTTAGTTCTATTTTATTTTGTTCTGTTTCATTTCCTTCGAGACTTCTTTTTGACCTATGAATTAGTTTCTAGTTTATAGCTATTAAGAACAAAGATACTATAAACATTAATCTACATCCACATGCAAATAAAAATGAGTCTATACACAAACTTTACACCTTTCACAAACTTCTTAAATCTGCGGTTTTATATATGTTGCCAAATTTGGAAACTTTTTAGCATTATATCTTTAAATGCTTTTTCAGTCCTATACACCCCTTTTCCTCTCCTGTAACTTTGACAATATTCGTATTAGATTTTTTGTTATTGTCCAACAGATCTTTGTGGTTCCATTCATATCTTTTCAGTTTATTTTATGTTGTTCACATTGTTAATTTTATTTTTTTAATTAAAAAACCCCACTGATTCTTTTGCTATATTCATTTGCTATTGAACCCATTCTGTTCGGATATTGTATTTTTCAGTTCCAAAAATTCCATTTGGTTCTTATTTATATCTTCAGTTTCTTTGCTGAGAGGTTTTCTTTTTCTTTCCTTTATTTTAAGCCTGTTCCTCATTGCTCCTTGAGGCATTTTTTAGATGGCTGCTTTAAAGTTTTTGACAGACAATTCCAACATACGTGTTTTCTCTGTGTTGGCATCTGTTGTTAATCTTTTCTCATTCAAGTTGAGGTTGTCCTGGTTCTTGGTATAATGAGTAATTTTCAAATGTATATGGGATATTTTACATAGTATGTTGTGAGACTTTGGATGATCTTTCTTTCTTTCTTTCTTTTCTTTCTTTCTTTCCTTCTTTCCTTCCTTCTTTCTTTCTCTTTCCTGTTTAAGTGAAGTGTGCAGAGGCAGATTGGGGTAGATGTTTACCTCTGTTGACATCAATGTGTCAACAGCTTCCCACTGCCTCACTGGGCCAGGTGGGGGCAGAAACCCAGCTCTCCAATGGGTGACATCCACACAGGAGGCAGGGGGGAAGTAACCTGTCCACTGGCACCACCTCCTACCTGCTCATTCAGCCTTGCTGTTGCTGTGTGACAGTGCGACTTCCACTCCTTCTGAGTGAGCTGTGAGTAGCACCACCTCCTCTTGTTGTCTCATTCTGCTCCTTTGCTGCCAAGTGTGGGGAAAAGCTCCATTTCCCTCTTTTTTCGCCAACACCAGTGGAGGTGGATGGAAGCAAAGTGCTGACTCTCACAGCCTCACTCTGCTCATTTTACTTCATTATTGTTGCATTAAGGTAAAAGTTCAGCCCCTATTGGTCCCTCCACTGACACCCCGCGATGAGGGGAAGCAGACAGCCACCCAGCATTACGTTGTACCACCTTGCATGGCTTTATTCTGCCCCATTGCTGCTGCCAGGTGGGGACCAAAGCTCAGCTCTCCACTGGGCTGAGTCAACACCAAGGAAGGGTCAAGGGAGGAGTTACTTGTAGCACCTCATTGCTCCTGGGAGAGAGGAGAAGTTCAGCTCCTCCTTAGATCCCATTGACAACGTCACAATGCAGGAGATGATATCACCAAATTGGTGTTCTATTTCTTCTACATCAACCTTGTACCAGTCCCTTCACTCCAGGAATCAAGGTTTTCCTGGGGCTTTGACACTTATTTCCAGTCACCTGCTGGGGGTTCTAGATTACAGGTTTTCCCAGTGCACCATGTGGTACACATGGTGTCATTTCTAACGTCCTGAAATTCCTAGCCAGGTTGATTTTTTTCCGTCCACATTTCAATGTTCCTGTGTTTGTTTCCTGTAGTATGGCCAGAGTTTTTCAGTTATGACAGAGAGAAATAGCTTGCAATGAGTCTACCCCTACTTAGACAGAACTGGAAATCCCTCTATCCACTTTCCCATTAAGCCTTACTTGTTATTTTGTAGTGGTTGCTCTAGAGAGTATAATATGATCTTTAACTTATCACATTCTATCTTCAAACAATATTCTGCTTCTTAATTAAAAATGTAAAAATCTAACAACAGTATGCTTCTAATTACCAGTCTCCCAAACATTGTACTCTTATGAGCATATATACTTTTTCTAAGAATAATTTATCCAACATATTTTACTGTTTTTTTTTTTACTTTAGTCAGTAGCCTTTTTAACGATTTAAAGATAAATATATAGACATAGAGAAATGTTTTAAATTCTTCATCCCCTTTGTCCAACATATTTACTTTATCATGTGTGTGGGTTTAAGAACCATCAGGTCTGTGTTTGGGTTCACCAGAGAAACAAAACCAATAGAATATATAAGGATATGAAAGAGATTTATGATGAGATTGGCTCATGCAATTTTTGGAGGCCAAGGAAACTCATCTGCATCGTTGGCCATCTGCAAGCTGGAGTACCAATAAAGCTGGTGTGGTCATTCTGTCTGAGTTCAAAGGCCTCAGAACCAGGGAAGCTGATGGTATAACTTCCAGTCCACTACCTTATTGCTAGCATTTTTATCTTATGTACGTATGATTGTATTTCATATCATAAATGAAGATTCTTGTTATTCATATTATATCTATTTAACTTCCCTCTTTCTATTGGTTAAGAAATCAGCTCTCTAATTTACCAATATAGCAATGGTACTTAATGTGATCTGCTGTTAATGAATACTTAGAATACAACCCAATTATAGCTATATAATTTAATGTCATTTAACCACTTGATGCACCCAGTGTCATTTCTATTTATTTAGTTAATCAATACACTGAAAGGCACTCAGTATTGTATTAGATTTTTCCAGGGGCCTTTATGTGTCTCTGGTTCAGACTTAATGTATGAAAAAATGTTTTTAGAATTGATCAGCTTACAACTTCTGCAGAGGTCAAGATTTTCCAACCCCATCCTCCTCCTTGCTTAGCACATTTATAAATCAAATGTAACACATCGTAAGAAGAGGACCTGGGGTATGGGAATGTAGGTAAAGATTGTTTGGTGGCTGGGTAAAAACAAGACACCATCTTTTTTTTCCTTTCAATCTCGATAAACTGTAAGTTTCTAGGGCCTAGGAACTTAGAACCTGGCCCACCATAGGTATTTAAGGAATGCCTAGAAATCTAGAATGAATGTTAATTGAATGGATACATTTATCAGTGAGATTATTAATAAAGAACCCAAGAGGCCAGGCATGGTGGCTCACGCCTGTAATCCCAGCACTTGGGGAGGCTGAGGCCGGCAGATCACCTGAGGTCAGGAGTTCGAGACCAGCCTGACAAACATGGAGAAACCCCATCTCTACTAAAAATACAAAAAATTAGCTGGGCGTGGTGGCACATGGCTGTAATTCCAGCTACTCGGGAGGCTGAGGCAGGAGAATCGCTTGAGGTTGTGGTGAGCTGAGATCGCGCCATTGCACACCAGCCTGGGCAATAAGAGCAAAACTCTGTCTCAAAAAAAACAAAAACAAAAACAAAAACAAAAACCAAGAGAGGAGAAAAGAATGGTATCTGAGGTCAAGTTCCCCATTTCCCCAAAGCAGACCCTGAGAGGTGGCTGCATCTGCAAGTGACTTATTAAGGAAGTGCTCTTAGGGAAACTCATAAGGGAGCGGGAGAAACAGGTCAGGAGAAGAAAAGAGTCCAGCCAGGGTGAGATTTCAGCAAAGTCCCAGTCTCAGCCTGGCTGCAGGGAGACCTGGAGCGTAAGTCATGCTGTGGGATTTTTTTTCCGATTGGAGGCAAGGGTACTGGGCATTCAGACTCTAACTCCTGTACCTGTGCACTCCAAGGGGTAGGGACTGGGGATGTAAACTCCAGTGTGGCCAGATCTTTGGGTGGAGGCTAGGTGCTTTCTGTAGCTCAAGGGAAGGACACCTAACAGTTTCAGGTGTAGGCAATTTGAAACTAAGGCACAAGGATACCAGAAAGAAGCTTATTGAATAAGTAAGTGATTCTGAAAGACCTGAGCAGAATGTGGATTATATCTACTACCAGTGGCAATAGTTACTTGATAACAAAAAAGAAACAGATTAGATACTGTAGGTAGCCCAGTGTGGACAATAGACAGGACAGGGAGGTGTTTTGACAGAGTGAAGGTAGGGAAAGAAAGGTCTTTGTGAAGAATTAGTGTACACTGATATACCAGTTATGCACTTGGTAACAGTAACGAAGGACTCATCAGTATATACTAAATATGGACTTTGTTATTTTTTAAAAATATGTAATATAGGTAGGCAATATACAATATATATAATGTAATATGCAACATGTATATATATATGTCTGTATATATAACAGAATATGCTCTCTCTCTATATATTGTTTTAAGAGATAGGGTCTCACTCTGTCACCCAGGCTGGAGTACCTTGTCACACTCATAGCTTACTGCAGCCTTGAACTCCTGGGCTCAAGCGATCTCCCCACCTCAGCCTCCCAAGCAGCTGGGACTACAGGTGCTCACTACCATGCCTGGCTAATATTGTATACTCTTATTCTTATAACTATTAGTAAAAGTAACCAAAACATATATATTTATCTCATTGACTACAAGAGAAAGTAAAATTGCTTTTGGCCAAACCAGTAAATTCTCTGTAAACTCGGAAGGTTTTTAAGATGCAAAAACATTCATGAATAGATTCTACTCCACTCAGTTCCCAGTCAGGTTCATCGTAGACTTCTGGTGTCTTCTTGGTGATGAGCTAACGCAATTAGATGCCCAAAGCCTGTCTTTTCCTTCTTAATAGGCTTCTGGGTTTGCCTACAGCTTTCTTAGCTGGAGAAGACTGCAATTCGCTTGACAGCCATGGGTTATTTATAGAAAACTGGCTTAGGAGCTGCAACCTATATAAAACTGGGCTCTTTTATTTCCTGTATGAAGATGTGTTTGCTGAAAATCTATATGTGTTTGAATTGTAAGGTGGAAGTTGACATACTGCTTCCCTTTTTATCAGGTTAATATTCCATGTTCACAAAATTGTAAGACAAGTTTTAACCCTCAAAGTTAGCCCTCCCACAAGAAGTTATAATTACTATTTTTGACTTTGCCCTGTCACCTTTATTCTTCATCTCTTCTCTCACGTAGTTCTTTTCCCTCTGGAAGGCTGGTTTTTATTCCACCTTTTCTTAAGTAAAGAATTGGCTTTAGTTCTAAATCAAGTGATTGTCTAAGTATGGCTGACGCATGCCTGACCAATTTCCTGATCAGGTGCATTAGCTAAACTGCTGTAATTTATAAAGTTAAGGATTAGTACCACTGCACATCAGCTTCTTTCAGTCTTTGTATTATTTAAAGATACAGTTCAAATTGTGTGTCTCAGAACTTAAAAATTTAAACTCTATAAAATAAAGAGGTTCTTTGAAATCACAGGTTGAAATTTTTTTTTGATTTTTTTAAAATTTTTAGGTTGATCATAGTCATTGAAGTAAAACTTTTTTGTGTGTGTGATTACTTTCAAAACGTTAGTTATTCTAAAATCAGGTAATTTTCTCTCACCTTCCTTGTCTCAAAATGTGCCTAACATTCATTAGAAATGTCTTCCTTGTTTAAGTAGAGTACTGGCATATTTCTGCTTTTTAGATCCCAAATCTATTTTGGACTATTCAATAGGTGTAAAGTCATTCTGCTCTCAATTATAGACCTTAAAAGCATGCACATTTGAATACCCTCTCTAGGCCTAAGGTCCTCATTAGTAATTGAGGATAATAACATGACTTACCCATGGATTTGTGGGGATTAGTGAAACAATGGCAGTGAAAATGCTTCCCCCATGAGAATTAGTATTATTTCAGTCACATTAATCTTTAAATGCAAACAAAATTTGAATACTACTCTTGCCACCATGACCTAGAAAAATATTGAATATTCATTATTAGATATTTGTGGCAAATATCATTTACTATATCTTCCCAACTGCCAATGACTTATTGATGGCCTTTATTCAAAAGCAACCGAGCCTCTGACAGCTATGTTTAAATCTCAAGATCTGCATCACCCTCTGTGACA
Source organism: Homo sapiens (assembly GCF_000001405.40). Taxonomy (NCBI): domain Eukaryota; kingdom Metazoa; phylum Chordata; class Mammalia; order Primates; family Hominidae; genus Homo; species Homo sapiens. The sequence continues at coordinate 9,945,220 of NC_000010.11, forward strand.
TCAGATTTTCTTCCCCTAGGAGCTGAAATGAGTGATCACCACTTAGTCTCTGTGGTCCCTTGAATGGTGAATATGAAGTCTCTTAATTGTTGGGTACACATGTATGTGAAGCATTGACAAATCTGAGTCGCAAAGAGAGATCAATAAGGTAGAAAATGAGGGGTAAGCGAAAACAAGAAATGCAGAGAATATTTCTGTAGTCTGTATTACAAATGGCTTTGCTGATCCCTACCTCTGGATCTCTTCGTGCCTCCTGGATGCCCAGAAACTAAGTACTATGCTTTATATAAACACTCCCACCCCACCCACAGCCCTCCTCCTCCTCCTCCTCCTCTTTCTTCTTCCTCATAATTTTTTTTTTTTGGCCAAAGCTAATTTATGTCCCTTTGCATTACTTGAAAACTTCCAACCACAAAGAATTTATGATAGGTATTTCTTGATTAACCAAGAGATATTTGAATATTTGCAAGTAAATTTTGGAATGAGAGGAATCAGATTCATATTTATATTTTGCTCACACTAATTTCATGGATCTACTTTGTGTGGATCATTTTTGCAAATTTTGATTAACAGTATTAGCAACACTTAAAAGGTCTATATTACCATCTGTATTTTACAATGAGGAAACCAAAGCTCAAAGAGATTGAATTCCTTTTGAATGTCACATCCATGATATATGTGATTCAAATCCTAGTGTCTTCCAAAAAAATGGGCTTGTCAGAAAAAAAGAAAAAAAAATCCTAGTACCTAGACTTTTTCCACTTAATTATCCTGCAATCCCCCTGAAGGGCTCAATGGAACCAGAACAAAGATTTTATGAACAGTCTTCTTAATTTCATATATATGGGGGTGCTTGTCATTCAAAGCAAGTGGTGATCACACCATTTATGTTCACAGGATTATAGAACACAGAACTCTAGGTATTTCACATTAAATCCGTGGCTGGCAACATTCTGAAGCTACCAAACTTCCCCTTCTCTTCTTTTTTGTTTCAAATCCTTCGTGATGGTGGCTGCCTTACTTGGGTGACTCAGTGAGGCGGATCTTCTACCTAGCTCATGGTGGCCAAAGTACACGGTGCCTCTGATACAACGAGGTCCAACCTGGGCCATATATGTATTTATTTATTGCTATTTCATAGCATTATCAGGATAATCAATCAATCCACTTTCATTCATTTTGATTATGTTTTGTAGATGTCAAGAGTCAATAAGAAAGCAATGTATAGAGCTTTCCGGTAAATCTTTCGACTCATTATGTTTTCTGGTCAACCCTACTGAGGAAATGAAACACATGCCCAGCTGCTAATCAAGCTGCAATGTTCTCAATGTAACAACGGTTTCAACAAGACTGGTGGAATTAGATCAGATCAAACTGCAATCCTCCAAATGACTAATTTACTTTATTTTGAAATATCGCTACTTCTTCGCCAATTTCAATCCTAGCTCCACTGTAATCTTTACACTCCGAGAACAAACATTATTGCAATATCAAATTTCTGAATTCTACTTGCTTCTTGACAGCATCTAAACCCTCATAAGGCCCCTTTCCCTAGACCTTCATCAGAATCATCTAGCACAAATCTAAACCCTCCCTTCCCATAAGGATTGCCCTTCCTGTAAGGATTGCCCTTCCCACCTTTCTCTTCCTGAGATTTCCCAAAACTCCACTGAAGCATATTCTCCACGCTGCAGCAGCCAAAGAAGAGTAACTTTTAACTTTACGTGGCTACAAGTATGTTCCTAGTGCTCTTCGGTTGATGGGCTTCAATACGACAAAGACATACTTAACACTTCTTATTCCTTTGAGCCTGATGTCTATATGTTTACATCTGGAGTTCTTGTTTTCTTCATGGTAAATTCCAGATCTCCTTGAGTGAGTAAGGTGCTTACTTATTTTTTATTTATTTATTTATTTTTTAGATGGAGTCTCACTCTGTCGCCCAGGCTGGAGTGCAGTGGCGCCATCTTGGCTCACTGCAAGCTCCGCCCCCCCGGGTTCACGCCATTCTCCTGCCTCAGCCTCCCGAGTAGCTGAGACTACAGGCGCCCGCCGCCACGCCCGGCTAATATTTTTGTATTTTTAGTAGAGATGGGGTTTCACTGTGTTAGCCAGGATGGTCTCGATCTCCTGACCTCATAATCCGCCCGCCTCGACATCCCAAAGTGCTGGGATTACAGGGATGAGCCACCGCGCCAGGCCAGTGCTTACTTCTTAAAGCCCAAATTTATGCACATTTTAGTGAATATTGATAGTCTATGCCCTAGTTACTACCTCATTGATGGTAGGCACCCCTTCTTTTACTCCTGACGTTTCTTGGTGGAAGCGATTCTGCCAGTGAAGAAATGGGAAAGGAGGAATGCAGGTACTTAGGCAGGAATCCACCAACCATGAAGTTGTTGCCCCTAGCAATTTGCTTTGTCCTGTTTCAGAAACTCACACATCCTATGCAAGGCACCTCCAGCTGGTTATATGAGAGGGAGTTTTATTTTAGTTATTGTCTTTTTAATCTCTCCTGTACCAGCTTCATACCCCTTTACTTCCTTTATGTATTTATTTATTTATTTATTCCTTCATTCTGTGAAACCCAAAGAGCTGCTCTCAATTCCCACTAGAGACTTTAATAGCACTCAGGTTTTTCTGCAAAGGCCCTCCACCCGGTTGAGGTTCCCAGAGTGACGCTCTGGTGGGAATGTTCTTCTGCTACAGCCACACTAAGCTTTACAGGGGTAGCACGTGAAAAATTATACACAGAATTATATATTGAAGACTTTATTTTAAAAGCCCCTTCTGTAATTTCTTTTTTCATTTATAATTTTTCCACGTTATTTTAACTTAAAATGCAGCCAACTTTAATTGATATAAGTTCATCCTTATTGATGTTTGGGGTTTCTTCTCATTTCAGCATACTTTCTCTTGGGGCAAGTTTTTGTTTTTTTAATTCCCACAGAATTTCTTGAAATATACACCTGTGTTCTTTACAATATTTTATGACTCAATGCAATATTTTATGACTTTGTGTTATTTTTAGTATGAATAAAATGTACGTTAAATGTTGGAATTTTTTAGTTTTTTTTTCTCCTATGAGCTTGTATTTTGATGTTTTAATCATCACAAACTTTGCAAAATCTAAACATCTGAGGGAAGGGGTAAAGAAAAGAAAAAGAAAAACCTTGTACTAAAACAAAACCACATGGCAACAGGATTTGGTTTCCTTGTGTTGGGGAAGAGGGATCCTACATTTAAAACTTTGATATGTTGATAGGCACAAAATGATCCCATGTTGTCTATTCAGACAAGAGATAGCAAAGCATTAATTGATGGGCTAGTAGCTTGGATTCATTCATTTCATATTGTCTTAATCTTGACTATTTTTGTAATCTGTTAAAGCACAGAATAATTCTGTTATTGTGCAATTTAATGTTATAACCACCTGCCGGGTATAGATTATGTTTGAAAGCACACCCTAAAGTAATTTGAAGAATTGTAAAGTAATAAAGTAATTTGAAGTATAACCCAGGGTCATTATTATAGTTCATTTGGATATTTACTTTGAGGAACTATTGCTATTTCTAGGGCTGAATTTGCACAGATGCACCAGTATGGGAATGAGGGGAGGATATGAGAAAAAAATTGAGACTATTTCCAAGTGGCTTTGGAATTGGAGTTTGTGAGCTCCCAAGAGTGAGTAACACCCTTCAGTCTAGTTGTCTGGGTCTGGGAGGAACTGTTCAATTTGGCCAGGGTGTTGTAAGAAGTAAACTGAGACTTGTCCAGCATTCAAAATTACCGTATTTCATAAATTCTAAAATGCCATCCTTTTGTGATTTTTTTTTTTTTTTTTTTTTGCTACAGAATCTCACTCTGTCACCCAGACTGGAGTGCAGTGGCAAGATCTCAGCTCACTGCAACCTCCGCCTCCTGGCTTCAAGCGATTATCCTGCCTCAGCCTCCCAAGTAGCTGGGATTACAAGCATGTACCACTACACCCAGATAAGTTTTTTTGTATTTTTAGTAGAAACTGGACTTCACCTTATTGGCCAGGCTGGTCTCGAACACTTGACCCCAAGTGATTCACCTACCTTAGCCTCCCAAAGTGTTGGGATTACAGGCATGAGCCACTGTGCCCAGACTAAAATGCCATCCATTTTAAAACAAACTGTTGTTTTATTCAAAACTAAGAAAATAATTTGCTGCTAGACTGTGGAACACATCTTTATTACCACTTATAATCTTTTTATGCTTAGTCAAAGAGCTATTTGATGTAGACATAAGTTTTTAAAAATTATTATTGTATATTATTCTTTTGTATATATTAAATGAAAAATATATGGAAAGTACGTTAGTTAATGTGTTCTTAAAATATCTTCACATTCAAAATTTCTCTCTTTTAAATCAAGTTGGGACCCAAAGGCATCAATATCAGGGGTCCTCCCCCTGTGCCCCTGAAAAATAATCCCCTGTTCCATCAAGGTTCTCGCTGCAATATTTCTGCAATGAGTCCACACTGTCATCTCTTATTTCAAGACTAGTTAAAATGCTAGTTAAAATGGCACTTTTTTATCTTGGCAGAATGTATTGACAATAACACGTATTTCCTGACTACTATCTAGGGAACAGAGACTGTATAAGTCCTGATTTAATAAATGTTATATATTTCTAATTCATTATTTTCCTCTTTATTTTTATCATCTTGAGGAGTTTGGAGAATGAAATAACTTCTTAAGAAACATCTTAAACAAGTCAGTTCAAGACTATCTCTGGTGAGAACTAAATTATTTACTACTTTAATTTTCATAAGCTTTCTCACCATTAGTTTTATCTACAGGTAGTATGTTTTGGTTGACCAAAAACTTCAAGTATGTAGTTTTCCTTTATGCACATTTGATTTCCAAATTCTTTGTTTCTTTGTGGAAGAGAGTAAAATAATCCCTGAACTCGGCCATTCTGCTAAGAACTTGGAATGCCTTGTTTTGACTTCCTCTACTGGACTCTGTTTTAGTGTTCAGAGTTAAATTTCCTTTAAAGAATGCGCTCAGATCCCAGTGGTTTTCCCAGTGAGTTTCTGATATGTCAAACTTACTTTCTCACTTAACATTAAGGAATACACAGGCTAATTGTTAAGAATTACAGATAACCCAGGAATTTACAAATACTATAAGTCATATATACAGAATGAATCATACTTACCCTTTAGAACTGCATGACTTATCACCCAATGTATTTTTGTTTAATTTTTATTTTTATTTTAAGTTCTGGGGTACATATGCAGGATGCGCAGGTTTGTTACACAGGTAAATGTGTCCCATGGTGGTTTGCTGCACCTGTCAACGCATCACCTAAGTATTAAGCCCGGCATGCATTAGCTATTTTTCCTAATGCTCTCCCTCCCCCAACCCTACCCACCAACAGGCCCCAGTGTGTATTGTTCCCCTCCCTGTGTTCATGTGTTCTCATTGTTCAGCTCCCACTTATAAATGGAAAATACAGTGTTTGGTTTTCTGTTCCTGCATTAGTTTGCTGAAGATAATGGCTTCCAGCTCTATCCATGTCCCTCCAAAAGACATGATGTCATTCCTTTTTATGGCTGCATAGTATTCTACGGTATATATGTGCCACATTTTCTTTATCCATTCTATTATTGATGGGCATTGGGTTGATTCCATGTCTTTGCTATTATGAATAGTGTTGCAGTGAACATATGTGTGCATGTATTTTTGTAATAGAATGATTTATATTCCTTTGGGTAGATACCCAGTAATGAGATTGCTGTGCCAAATAGTACTTCTGGTTCTAGATCTTTGGGGAATCACCACAGTGTCTTCCACAATGGTTGAACTAATTTACCTTCCCATCAACAGTGTAAAAGTGTTCCTAAGGAAATATTACATTATTTTTTAAAGGTACATTTTAGAGTCAATGAAAGATGTTGTTAGCTCTCCTTCCTGGTATCTGTGCTATAAGATAAGTGGTTCCAAGAAAGAAGTTTCAGACTAATTCTCCCACAAGTACATATATTTATTAACATGGCGAGGCAAGGAAATACAAGTGAAATGAAATCCCTGTTAGGCACCCTGGAGATTAGAATCCCAACCTAGGCCTCCATTTCAAAGGGAAAGGAAAATGAATCACTTCCATCATTATACACTATTCAGACCACGATGGTAATGCCTGCAACATTTCCATCCAATCCACATATCTTTAACATCACTACATTTCAACAATAATTAAAAAAAAAACTATTTCTAACTGCCATCATGCTAATTAAAATACCACTGCTGTGAATGTGTATATCCAATTAGAGTATACATGTTAATTAAATTCCATTAGCTTATAATTTAAGCACAAATTGCATACTATGTAGGAGAATTTTTAAAGAAAATTACAGATACTACAAAATATTTATAATTAGATCAGTGTGTTTCCTTCAGCAAAATGGAGATGCATGACTAGTGGAAATGCCAGTTTCAAGAACCTTGTTTTCTATTTTACTAGCTACCAGCAAATGTTGAGCAAAATGTTTAAAAATGCTTCTCTTTGACTTCTTCTTAAAACTGCAGTGAATATTTTAGAAGAATAAATTGTTCTTCTTTCCTTTGGACAAAAGAGTTATTTCTAGCACTGATAAATACTGCTTAAGAAGCCTAATATTATGAATGGCTTAGGAAGATCTAAAATAAAAAATTGAAGTTATGGAGGTAAAATGTTTGACTTATAAGATCATATTTATCATTTTTTGTAATCCTGCAGGGTCATTTCATTTTAGTAACATCAACCGCAGGACTCTTGAACATGAGCCATACATGATAAACCACAGGAAGTACTGAGAGGCAATGGTCTGTGTCATGAAACTTTCCTCCAAGGAGCTAAAACCTCCAAAAGCTTCTAACTGGATAAGCACAGATAGCAAAAGACCTAATAGAGAACCACTCTGTCCCTCCAATATATAATATGTGCTCTATTAGGGCCTTTGCTATCTGTGCTTATCCACTTAGAAGCTGCTGGAGGCTTTAGCTCCTTGGAGGAAAATTTCATGCCACAGAAATGTTATAAATATATAAAAAATGCTGTTCTCCTTTTGCCATTTGGAAACAGGAACTTTAAGCTTACAAATCATGAGCACGAAATGTTTGCCCAGATAATCTCACTTTATATCTATTAAAATGTTCTTAGGAGTCATACGTATTTTTGACAATTGTTAAGTGATAGTTTTTATTTCCTGGAATTGTTAAAAGCAGCAGAGTAACCTAGGCCTAGAGAATCCTTCTCTCAATATTAAAGATGGTATAAGTTTACAGATTTCTGGAAAATAGTCTTATAAGCCATCGCTTATAGAAGTTTACTTCTGAAAAATAAGCAAATGCCTTCATTTACAAGAAAACAGGCATATTCTTGCATTTGCTTGCCAGGTAAGCTCCTGAGCAAAACTATCTGTTGTTTTAATTACCAAGACACCAAAGTTTATTCATACATTCCCAGCCCGCAAAGTGCTACATCCCACTTTATTATGATTTCTTGGTCAACTCTTCTAGCTATCCTAGAAACTGTGTTACTCTCTCATTATTCCCAGCCCTTCTTCTAATTGTTTTCTACTGTCTACACCACTTTTTCTTAAAATGTGATGTATGTTAAAAACTGAATTCCTGTACGCCTTCTTTATACAAATGATTCAAAATTGCCCTAATTTTCACTTCATAACAAGCTCTCCTAATGATTTTTCTTCCTGTTAAAACTGGACAGCTGTTGTAGAGCCCACTTTCAATCCATCAGCTTCTCTACTTTCTACCTCCAAATTATGCCCTCATCTCATTCCTTCCTCTTCTACTCTTTCTCATCGGGAAGACTCAAATAGGCATTTAATCTGTTTTCATGTCCTAGATTCATTTTTGGCTTATCTCGTTCATTCATCTAATTGTGGTTCTTAAATTGTGGTTCTCATCCATTCATTAAATTGTGGTCCATTCATCAAAATGTGGGGTCATTTTGCCCCCAAAGGATATCTGACAACATCTGCATATGGGTTTGGTTGTCACAACTAAGGAACACACAGCTACTACTGGCGTTTAGTGAGTGGAAGTCAGGGATGCTGCTACGTTTCCTACAATGCCCAGGACAGCACCACAAAGAACCCTCTTGCCTAAAGTGCCAGTAGTGCCATGGTGCTGGGGTGAAGTCTTCTTGCCACACTGAGGCACTTCCATCACCTGACCCTGCCTGAATCTGCAATACCAGTTTTTCCAAACTGTCTGTCATGGTGTCCTATTTACCTTCCTTGTAAAACTTTTTGCTTAGTATCATAAAAAAAAAAGTGTTTCATGATCTTTCTTCCCCTCGAGAACATAAGCATTTGATGCCTAACACCTAGGATAGTAATTTATACATTGTAGCTTTTTATTAAATTTTAATTAGATTAAGTAGGCCATACTTGCTTGTATATTATGTGTGTTTGTCTATGTGGGTAATTCAAAAGAAGCAATATATATAAAAGTGATTCTAACATTAAATTAATAGCTATACAAATATCAATCATAATCCTCTAGAGGACATGAAAAAATGCTTGAAAAATAAAAAAAAAGAATTTCTTTGTATTTAATTGAATTCTATTGGTTATGTTTCCTAATGACTCAAAATGAACTACTATAGGTCATAAATATATGGTTTATTATTTTGTTCATTTAAGCATATTTCACTTACAATGGTAATTAAAAACTATACTGCAAACTATTTTAGATCATTTTCAACAAACTAAATTAGACTTGCCACATGTCTGGCCTGGGAATTGGAATTACAGAAAAATAGAAAATTGAGTTATAAAGTACCTTTCTGTCCCAAACCTTTGGGTGCACAAAAATCAGGTATTATTTTCAGTTTTAAGTGATATGTCTGAGTCCGTGAATATTTACACATCTGGTCCAGGTTCACGGTGATAATACCTTTCTAGGACAGAATTTAAACCTAAAACCCTCATTCCATTATTGCAGATTATCAAGGCAAAAAAGTCTTGTTTTAAAAATGAGTAAGTTCATAATGTACTCCTCTTCTTAACTTTTTTTTCCCTTTGACTTGTATCATGGTACAGTAAAAAGAGCAGGTTTTAGCCAGAGAAAACCCTAGATTTGAAAGTCAGTGACCTAGGGCAGAGCAGGGATCAGTAAACATTTCATAAAGAGCCAAAAATACGTATTTTTGCTTTGCCAAGTGTATGTTCTCTGTTGCCAACGCTGAGTTCCGCTGTGGTAGAGAGAAAGCAGTCATAAACGATATGGAAATGAACTGACTTCTCTGTTTTCCAATACCACTTTATTTACTAATAAGGTGGGCAAATTTGGACCCTAGAGCATTGTTTGCTGACCCCTGACAGAAAGAAAACTACTGTACCTCCTCACATAAAATGGAGGTGAGAGAGTTCATTTCATAGGTTTGAAGTAACTCAGACTAACCAAGGTAATGTAACATACTTATGAGAGTATGTAGCCTGCTCGAGACATTACATGCAGCTATCATTATGATGGAGGCAAGTGAATTAATGTTTAAACTCATTCACACAATATTCTCTATGGAGCAAAATGCAATGTTAGGCAAGAGCATGAAAGAGAGCTAATTATTTAACTAACAAAAGACTGAGATTATGAAGGAGCTCTAGCCTTAATGATATTCATGTCGAAAGTTTTCTATTCTAAGCTCTATTTCTCGAAGATTTAGTAGTAGTATTTTTTCTATAAGCGCAGAAAATTTGAAATGATTCTTTCAAGAAAATACAACAAACAGCCATTGGATTCTCTAAATCTAGGTAAGCTTCATCACTACAAAACAGAAAAGAAGTCTAAGTTTATATTATAAATTGTTCTCACTGCTAGTAATTACTGACTGCTTCTTTAATGGCTCATAATGAATTCCATGCATTTTTCTAAGAATTATTTTGTTCCCAGAGTTATGTGGATTAATTTATGTATATTTAATTTAAAAATTAGCATCACTTTGGGGATTTGTGTCCCCTTAACAGTTCATGAATAAATCAGCTACCTTAAGCTCTTTGAAAAATGCATAAGTATATAAAATATCCTTTAGCACATTTAATTTGAAAACAAAGAGGAATGAATAATTGAACTTTTGTTGACTTCAGTTAGCCAAAATTTAAAAAGAAAATGAAATGCAGTTGTGAACAGGCTGTATATCTGGTGTTTTGTTCTATACTTTATTTAGAAATATTGTTCAGTGTGACTGTGCGTCTAACCCAACTTAAAATTTAAAATATTTCACATTACCTCTTTTACACTAAATCAATGGATGCTTTTCAAAATAGAGAGCATATTCAGTTGAAAAATAAAAGAATCCACCCATTTTAAAGCTTCCTACTTTGTGAATTAAATTATATGCCCCACATCTAAATGCTACACGCTTCCCTAATTATATGAGGTTGTCTGTCTTCAAAAGGCCTTTACAATCTTCCGCTAATTCAGTCAAATTATATTGATTGGTAGATGTGTCAGAGTTTCTTTTCTTGGTTTAAGGATATGAGATTGCTTTTTCAAGAAATGTAATCTTTTATTAGAGTTTATGTCCAGCCAGGTGGGGTGGCTCATGTCTGTAATCCCAGCACTTTGGGACGCCAAGGCTGGCAGAGCACCTAAGGTCAGGAGTTTGAGACCAGCCTGGCAAACATGGTGAAACCCCATCTCTACTAAAATTACAAACAAATTTAGCCAGGTGTTGTGGCACGTGCCTGTAATCCCAGCAACTTGGGAGACTGAGCAGGAGAATTGCTTGAACCCAGGAGGCAGAGGTTGCAGTGAGCCGGGATCGGGCCACTGCACTCCAGCCTGGGCAACAAGAGTGAGACTTGGTCTCAAAAAGAAAAAAAAAAAAAGAGTTTATGTTCATTAGCATGAGAAAATATGGATAGACAGATGGGTAGATGAATAGAAGGGTAGGTAGATGTAGATATAGATTTATATATGTACATCTATATGTATAAAATAACATAATAAAAGAATGTCCATGGATTTGACTGTACTGATTTTTCCAAAATCTTTTGTATGTACAGTTAGTTAAAATTTTATATTAATGATTTTGAGATTAAGAGCTGGCTCCCATGAACACCAATTAATTTAACACATTCTGTTCTATGGGACTAACCTGTGCCACCAGAATCACTTGGGTATCTTAACATTACATTGCTAGGAAAACAAGGATAGACCAGCAGAAAGCCTAGATAACCAATATCGCACTAAACTAAAAACAAACAAAAAATCCTCAAAACTGTGGGTGGTGTGACATTGGTTTTGTGCCTGTGTAATTGGTCTACTTGATATCCTGTCCTGACATTTCTTTTTTTTTTTTTTTTTTTTTTTGAGACGGAGTCTCGCTCTGTCGCCCAGGCTGGACTGCGGACTGCAGTGGCGCAGTCTCGGCTCACTGCAAGCTCCGCTTCCCGGGTTCACGCCATTCTCCTGCCTCAGCCTCCCGAGTAGCTGGGACTACAGGTGCCCGCCACCGCGCCCGGCTAATTTTTTGTATTTTTAGTAGAGACGGGGTTTCACCTTGTTAGCCAGGATGGTCTCGATCTCCTGACCTCATGATCCACCCGCCTCGGCCTCCCAAAGTGCTGGGATTACAGGCATGAGCCACTGCACCCGGCCGACATTTCTTTATTTCCCACGTTATACATTTGAAACTACTTGTAATTAGAGCAACTCCATTCTATTTTGTATTTATTATGTCCAGTTGAATAAGGGAGAATAGAAGGAGCTCCAGGCATCTCATAACTTTCCCACACCATCCTTATAATTCCTCTCTGAGTATCTGGTTCACACTTGTGGACTCCTGTGAGCTCCATGAAGCAATTTCTATCCTTAGAGTTGCATCAACATAAGCAAAGAGAGTTTTAGGAAAGTATCTTACCAGAGATGGCTTCAAGTTCATAGAATCAAAGAATGTTGCTTAAAGGCTTTAACTAAATAAATAAACAAATAAGCATATGATGTCAAATATTAAATTTTTTAATGCCTAAGGAATAATATATCTTATTTAATAGTCAGAGATCATGTCCCCTACAAAATCCATTTTGCCTTCCCCAAGTAAATTATGTGCATGTAAGTGATTGATTGTCTTAAGGAAGTAAATTTTATTCAAGTAGAGGGTCTTCTTTGATTTCCATTCATATAAAGAGATAAAAGCTCAACATTACTAATGCATATAGAATAAGACCTTTACAAAACTAAGTTTACACATTATATTCAGCACTTCTGCAATTTCAGCCCTCCAGAAGTTAAGAGGACTTTGTTAAGACTCAATAATTGTTGATACTTTCCTTGCCGGGAAGTCCTAGAAGGCCTCATTTGCATAGTTCAACCCTGTGTCAATGGAGAACTAAGGAGAGTGATTCATCCAAAGAAATTCTACAAAAACTTAAGTGAAGTACTCTAATTATTTGCTCAATTGCCTCTTTCATTCAAAGCTTACTTTTAATAACTTCTTCCAATGGTCCCACAGAATTTTTCTTTGAAGAAGTTTCATAAACTTTGATTGTAAGGTTCCATTAAAGCCCGTGAAATGTTTTGGGGTTGTTCTGTTTTCTTGTTTTTTTTTTTTTTTTTTTGGTGGAGGTGTCTTATTATTTATTTATTTTTTATGTCTTTATACTTTTATGTCTACTCAGCCATAACTTATGGATTTCTGTTGCAGCTATATATTACTAGTAGAACAAATCACTCCAATATTGAGTAGTTCAGCAGTCTGAGATCAAACTGCAAGGTGGCAGCAAGGCTGGGAGAGGGGCGCCTGCCATTGCCCAGGCTTGCTTAGGTAAACAAAGCAGCCGGGAAGCTCGAACTGGATGGAGCCCACCACAGCTCAAGGAGGCCTGCCTGCCTCTTTAGGCTGCACCTCTGGGGGCAGGGCACAGACAAACAAAAAGACAGCAGTAACCTCTGCAGACTTAAATGTCCCTGTCTGACAGCTTTGAGGAGAGCAGTGGTTCTCCCAGCATGCAAATGGAGATCTGAGAACGGGCAGACTGCCTCGTCAAGTGGGTCCCTGACCCCTGACCCCCGAGCAGCCTAACTGGGAGGCACCCCCGAGTAGGGGCAGACTGACACCTCACATGGCCGGGTACTCCTCTGAGACAAAACTTCCAGAGGAACGATCAGACAGCAGCAATTGCGGATCATGAAAATCCGCGGTTATGCAGACACTGCTGCTGATACCCAGGTAAACAGGGTCTGGAGTGGACCTCTAGCAAACTCCAACAGACCTGCAGCTGAGGGTCCTGTCTGTTAGAAGGAAAACTAACAAACAGAAAGGCCATCCACACCAAAAACCCATCTGTACATTGCCATCATCAAAGACCAAAAGTAGATAAAACCACAAAGATGGGGAACAAACAGAGCAGAAAAACTGGAAACTCTAAAAAGCAGAGTGCCTCTTCTCCTCCAAAGGAACGCAGTTCCTCACTAGCAACAGAACAAAGCTGGATGGAGAATGACTTTGACGAGTTGAGAGAAGAAGGCTTCAGACGATCAAACTACTCCGAGCTACAGGAGGAAATTCAAACCAAAGGCAAAGAAGTTGAAAACTTTGAAAAAAATTTAGAAGAATGTATAACTAGAATAACCAATACAGAGAAGTGCTTGAAGGAGCTGCTGGAGCTGAAAGCCAAGGCTCGAGAACTACGTGAAGAATGCAGAAGCCTCAGGAGCCGATGCGATCAACTGGAAGAAAGGGTATCAGTGATGGAAGATGAAATGAATGAAATGAAGTGAGAAGGAAAGTTTAGAGACAAAAGAATAAAAAGAAACGAACAGAGAGAAAAAAGAATAAAAAGAAACGAACAAAGCCTCCAAGAAATATGGGACTATGTGAAAAGACCAAATCTGCGTCTGATTGGTGTACATGAAAGTGACGGGGAGAATGGAACCAAGTTGGAAAACACTATGCAGGATATTATCCAGGAGAACTTCCCCAATGTAGCAAGGCAGGCCAACATTCCGATTCAGGAAATACAGAGAACACCACAAAGATACTCCTTGAGAAGAGCAACTCCAAGACACATAATTGTCAGATTCACCAAAGTTGAAATGAGGAAAAAATGTTAAGGGCAGCCAGAGAGAAAGGTCGGGTTACCCACAAAGGGAAGCCCATCAGACTAACAGCAGATCTCTCGGCAGAAACTCTACAAGCCAGAAGAGAGTGGGGGCCAATATTCAACATTCTTAAAGAAAAGAATTTTCAACCCAGAATTTCATATCCAGCCAAACTAAGCTTCATAATTGAAGAAGAAATAAAATACTTTACAGACAAGCAAATGCTGAGAGATTTTGTCACCACCAGGCCTGCCCTAAAAGAGCTCCTGAAGGAAGCACTAAACATGGAAAGGAACAACCGGTACCAGCTGCTGCAAAATCATGCCAAAATGTAAAGACCATCGAGACTAGGAAGAAACTGCATCAACTAGTGAGCAAAATAACCACCTAACATCATAATGACAGGATCAAATTCACACATAACAATATTAACTTTAAATGTAAATGGACTAAATGCTCCAATTAAAAGACACAGACTGGCAAATTGGATAAAGAGTCAAGACCCATCAGTGTGCTGTATTCAGGAAACCCATCTCACATGCAGAGACACACATAGGCTCAAAATAAGAGGATGGAGGAAGATCTACCAAGCAAATGGAAAGCAAAAAAAGGCAGGGGTTGCAATCCTAGTCTCTGATAAAACAGACTTTAAACCAACAAAGATCAAAAGAGACAAAGAAGGCCATTACATAATGGTAAAGGGATCAATTCAACAAGAAGAGCTAACTATCCTAAACATATATGCACCCAACACAGGAGCACCCAGATTTATAAAGCAAGTCCTGAGTGACCTACAAAGAGACTTAGACTCCTACACAATAATAATGGGAGACTTTAACACCCCACTGTCAACATTAGACAGATCAATGAGACAGTAAGTTAACAAGGGTACCCAGGAATTGAACTCAGCTCTGCACCAAGCGGACCTAATAGACATCTACAGAACTCTCCGCCCCAAATCAACAGAATATACATTTTTTTCAGCACCACACCACACCTATTCCAAAATTGACCACATAGTTGGAAGTAAAGCTCTCCTCAGCAAATGTAAAAGAACAGAAATTATAACAAACTGTCTCTCAGACCACAGTGCAATCAAACTAGAACTCAGGATGAAGAAACTCACTCAAAACCGCTCAACTACCTGGAAACTGAACAACCTGCTCCTGAATGACTACTGGGTACATAACGAAATGAAGGCAGAAATAAAGATGTTCTTTGAAATCAACAAGAACAAAGACACAACATACCAGAATCTCTGGGACACATTCAAAGCAGTGTGTAGAGGGAAATTTATAGCACTAAATGCCCACAAGAGAAAGCAGGAAAGATCCAAAATTGACACCCTAACATCACAATTAAAAGAACTAGAAAAGCAATAGCAAACACATTCAAAAGCTAGCAGAAGGCAAGAAATAACTAAAATCAGAGCAGAACTGAAGGAAATAGAGACAAAAAAAAACCCTTCAAAAAATTAATGAATCCAGGAGCTGGTTTTTTGAAAGGATCAACAAAATAGATAGATCGCTAGCAAGACTAATAAAGAAAAAAAGAGAGAAGAATCAAATAGATGCAATAAAAAGTGATAAAGGGGATATCACCACCGATCCCACAGAAATACAAACTACCATCAGAGAATACTACAAACACCTCTATGCAAATAAACTAGAAAATCTAGAAGAAATGGATAAATTCCTCGACACATACACTCTCCCAAGACTAAACCAAGAAGAAGTTGAATCTCTGAATAGACCAATAACAGGAGCTGAAATTGTGGCAATAATCAATAGCTTACCAACCAAAAAGAGTCCAGGACCAGATGGATTCCCAGCTGAATTCTACCAGAGGTACAAGGAGGAGCTGGTACCATTCCTTCTGAAACTATTCCAATCAATAGAAAAAGAGGGAATCCTCCCTAACTCATTTTATGAGTCCAGCATCATCCTGATACCAAAGCTTGGCAGAGACACAACCAAAAAAGAGAATTTTAGACCAATATCCTTGATGAACATTGATACAAAAATCCTCAATAAAATACTGGCAAACCGAATCCAGCAGCACATCAAAAAGCTTATCCACCATGATCAAGTGGGCTTCATCCCTGGGATGCAAGGCTGGTTCAATATACACAAATCAATAAATGTAATCCAGCATATAAACAGAACCAAAGACAAAAACCACATGATTATCTCAATAGATGCAGAAAAAGCCTTTGACAAAATTCAACAACCCTTCATGCTAAAAACTCTCAATAAATTAGGTATTGATGGGACGTATCTCAAAATAATAAGAGCAATCTATGACAAACTCACAGCCAATATTATACTGAATGGGCAAAAACTGGAAGCATTCCCTTTGAAAACCGGCGTAAGACAGGGATGCCCTCTCTCACTACTCCTATTCAATATAGTGTTGGAAGTTCTGGCCAGGGCAATTAGTCAGGAGAAGGAAATAAAGGGCATTCAATTAGGAAAAGAGGAAGTCAAATTGTCCCTGTTTGCAGACGACATTGTTTGTATATCTAGAAAACCCCATTGTCTCAGCCCAAAATCTCATTAAGCTGGTAAGCAACTTCAGCAAAGTCTCAGGATACAAAATCAATGTACAAAAATCACAAGCATTCTTATACACCAATAACAGACAGAGAGCCAAATCATGAGTGAACTCCCATTCACAATTGCTTCAAAGAGAATAAAATACTTAGGAATCCAACTTACAAGGGACGTGAAGGACCTCTTCAAGGAGAACTACAAACCACTGCTCAATGAAATAAAAGAGGATACAAACAAATGGAAGAACATTCCATGCTCAGGGGAAGGAAGAATCAATATCGTGAAAATGGCCATACTGCCCAAGGTAATTTATAGATTGAATGCCATCCCCATCAGGCTACCAATGACTTCACAGAATTGGAAAAAACTACTTTAAAGTTCATATGGAACCAAAAAAGGGCCTGCATCGCCAAGTCAATCCTAAGCCAAAAGAACAAAGCTGGAGGCATCATGCTACCTGACTTCAAACTATACTACAAGTCTACAGTAACCAAAACAGCATGGTACTGGTACCAAAACAGAGATATAGATCAATGAAACAGAACAGAGCCCTCAGAAATAACTCCGCATATCTACAACTATCTGATCTTTGACAAACCTGAGAAAAACAAGCAATGGGGAAAGGATCCCCTATTTAATAAACGGTGCTGGGAAAACTGGCTAGCCATATGTAGAAAGCTGAAACTGGATCCTTTCCTTAAACCTTATACAAAAATTAATTCAAGATGGATTAAAGACTTAAACGTTAGACCTAAAACCATAAAAACCCTAGAAGAAAACCTAGGCATTACCATTCAGGACATAGGCATGGGCAAGGACTTCGTGTCTAAAACACCAAAAGCAAGTGCAACAAAAGCCAAAATTGACAAATGGGATCCAATTAAACTAAAGAGCTTCTGCACAGCAGAAGAAACTACCATCAGAGTGAACAGGCAACCTACAACATGGGAGGAAATTTTCGCAACCTACTCTTCTGACAAAGGGCTAATATCCAGAATCTACAATGAACTCAAACAAATTTACAAGGAAAAAAACAAACAACCCCATCAAAAAGTGGGCAAAGGATATGAACAGGCACTTCTCAAAAGAAGACATTTATGCAGCCAAAAGACACATGAAAAAATGCTCATCATCACTGGCCATCAGAGAAATGCAAATCAAAACCACAATGAGATACCATCTCACACCAGTTAGAATGGCGATCATTAAAAAGTCAGGAAACAACAGGTGCTGGAGAGGATGTGGAGAAATAGGAACACTTTTCCACTGTTGGTGGGACTGTAAACTAGTTCAACCATTGTGGAAGTCAGTGTGGCGATTCCTCAGGGATCTAGAACTGGAAATACCATTTGACCCAGCCATCCCATTACTGGGTATATACCCAAAGGACTATAGATCATGCTGCTATAAAGACACATGCACACGTATGTTTATTGTGGCACTATTCATAATAGCAAAGACTTGGAACCAACCCAAATGTCCAAAAATGATAGACTGGATTAAGAAAATGTGGCACATATACACCATGGAATACTATGCAGCCTTAAAAAATGATGAGTTCATGTCCTTTGTAGGGACATGGATGAAATTGGAAATCATCATTCTCAGTAAACTATTGCAAGGACAAAAAACCAAACACAGCATCTTCTCACTCATAGGTGGGAATTGACAATGAGAACACATGGACACAGGAAGGGGAACATCACACTCTGGGGACTGTTGTGGGGTGGGGGGAGGGGGGAGGGATAGCATTAGGAGATATACCTAATGCTAAATGATGAGTTAATGGGTGCAGCACACCAGCATGTCACATGTATACATATGTAACTAACCTGCACATTGTGCACATGTACCCTAAAACTTAAAGTATAATAATAATAATAAAAAATAAATAAATAATAAAATAAAATAATCATTATTTACTGTAGACACAATGTGATTCTACTCAAGGCAGCTTCAGCCAAGGCTGGAGGGTCTGTTACCAGCTTGATTCGCTCACATAGCCGGTGAGAAGGCACTGAACTCACTGGGGCTGAGGGCTGGGGGACTCTGTTCTACCAGACATGAGACTCTCCATGTGGCCTGGGCTTCCTCCTCTTGTGTGGGTTTGAAGAACAAGTGTCCTAAGACACACACAGCCAGGCAGAAATGTGTGTTTCCTTTTCTGATGTAGTCTACAAAGTCACACTGTGACGTAGTCTCTGCATGTCTTAGTGGAGGCACAAACATCTATCCAGGTTAAAGAGGAAGAGGCTTAGAATCCACTCTTGATGGAGGAGTGGCGGGCATCTGGAAGAGCTTGTAGGATAGCAGATACTGGTATAACTTTTTTTTTTGGAAATAGAAAGCAATCTGCCACACTTTCTGTGTTATCATTAAGGTAATTGTTATCCATTAGAGCAATTCAGTTGTTTTATGGAAGTTGCCTCTAACTCTCACTCTCTGAACAGCTCTGGGCCTTCCTTTCTTCACCTCTGGCTAACTAAAATGGCTTTTAAACACCTTTTACTCACTTAATCAGAGATGTGGTACTTACAGTGTTTGCCTGAATTTATCCTATATTCTAAAGACATTCTGGGTCAGGACCCCATGCTGCTGCTTCTGCTCAAGGGGGTGGGGAAAGTTAACTGTAGGCGCATGCTTTGTAAAGAGAAGAAAAAATGTATTTCTCCTGAATCTCTCTTCTCTTATAGTCTCAAAATATACCAGCGGCTTGAATATTGCACTCAGTTCAGTGGATTCAATGTCTATTATGACAATGCCAAGCTACTATAAGAGTTTAAGAATCTTGAGGGTAGGACTTTGTGTTGTGTTTCATCCCTTAGTTTCTGTCACCAGGAGAGAAGAGCTGGGGAGAATCATTGCTTACTAGGATACATGCATTTTCCTATCAGGATATGAATGACCATGACATTAGACAAAGCAGACTTCAAATTCTTAATTCATTCAAGCAAACTGACTGATACTATGAAAATAGCAAAGGATATTTACAAAATGAGCACACTACACCCAGCTGTACAGGCAATGGAATATCTGTCTAAAATGATTAGCTCAGTTTCATCTCTCGACTGGGGATGTATGCCAGTTCTCCGCTGGCTTGATCTGCCTTCTTCAGGCAAAGCAACTTCCTAATTCCGGGTAGGGATTTCTTCCGTGAGGGCTATGTACCTTCAGGGCACCACTATGTTTGAGGCAAGAGTCTTCATGAGATGAAGATGTTGTCAGGAGAGTTAAACAAATAAATACATAAGGATTTTATAAGGGAGCTATAGTTAGACAGATTGACAGATTGTTGAAGTACAATTAAGGCAGTAGCCCCCAAATGACAAAAAGTTTAAAGGTCATCTACCATAAAATTTTACTCACCCCCATTCAAGACTTTATTTTGAGTTACTCAGGAAGTCTTTCTTATGATAGTTTCAACTAACTCCCCAAGATAATTCTTTCTAAACACACACAAAAAATTTAGTAAATTGTTGACATTTTGGGAATGTAATTTGAATTTTCTTTGTAAAGAAAAAGGCATACTTTATTTAAATATATTACAATTTTTTTATTCTGGCCTCTAGGTATGACATATAGATGCAGTATAAAGAACACCAGTCAAGGAATACTTGCACATGCATTGTGTCTAGCTGAGTAAATAGAACGTTGTCAATATTGTTGGAAATTCCCAGAGGGCATCTCTTGGCTTTCATCCCAGTCTTGCCTCTCTGGAAGTAATTACCATCGTAATTTTGTGCTAATAATTCTCTATAAAAATTAATTGGATCACTTTTTTGTTTAGTTTTGCTCATTTGTGACCTAGACAATAATGGAATCACACAATATAGATTCTTCTGTGACTTTTGTCTTTTTTACTTTTAATATAAAGTATATAATCATAATGTTATTTCTGTTGTTGTGTAGTTTTCCTTTGCATGATTTTTAATTATGCTACTAGTGGCATCTGGGTTGTTTTCAGCATTTTCGTCTTATAGATAATGTGATTATGTCCTATGTGGAATATGTCTCTTGATGAAAATGAACAAAGACCTCTCTAGGTTCATCACCTAATAGTTGAATTACTTGTTAAAGAATAGATACCTGGCCGGGCACGGTGGCTCACGCCTGTAATCCCAGCACTTTGGGAGGCCGAGATGGGCGGATCATGAGGTCAGGAGATCGAGACCATCCTGGCTAACATGGTGAAACCCCGTCTCTATTAAAAATACAAAAATTAGCCGGGCATGGTGGCGCGCGCCTGTAGTCCCAGCTACATGGGAGGCTGAGGCAGGAGAATGGCGTGAACCCGGGAGGCGGAGCTTGCAGTGAGTCGAGATCGCACCACTGCACTCCAGCCTGGGCGACAGAGCGAAACTCCGTCTCAAAAAAAAAAAAAAAAGAATAGATACCTATTCAAACTTACTTAGTAATAGATGTCTTTTGAAAGAGGTTGTATAATTAACACTCCTAACAGCAGGGTCTATGTGTTCCCACTGATTCACATTCTACCCAACACTTATTATTATGAAATTTTTATTTTTGCTAATCTGGTGTGCAATTTGAACACCCATGATTATTAATCAAGTTAACATTTTTTTCATGTTGTTCCCTTTTCCTCTCCTGTAAAAAGCCCATTCAAGTTCCTTACTGATTTTTGTACTTGATTGTTCTTTTTGTAATTGTTCATTGCTGAGGTTCTTTTAATTTTCTTAATAATGCTCTCTTCCAAGTGTATAATTAGTACTTTTCACCTCGATTATAGTGATGAATGATACTTAATATAAAGACACAGTCTTAAATTTTCTTCAAAGAGAAGTTTTTTCTTTTTTATTTAAACCCTTAATCTATTAGTAAGTGATTTGAGGTAGAGATTCAATATTGTTTTTCCATATAGAAAACCAATGTTTCAATATTTATTAAAAATTTATGATTTCCTCTTTTACATAAAATGTAGATTTTGCCAAATATTATGTATGATAAATTTGTGGGTCTGTTTCAGAGCTCTCTATTTGGTTCCATTAGTCTTGTTTAACTATATTACATATGAGACTATCTCAATAACTTGAACTTTATTATTACTCATAATATTTGAAACAATATCCCTCAGCTTGTTCTTTTTTCAGAGGGTCTTAGCTATTATTAGGACTTTGCATTTCCGTATAAATTTTAGAATCAACTTAGTAAGTTCCATAAAAAAACTGTGATGATATTTACATTGAAATTGTATTGAATCTTTATGTGATTTTGGGAAGACTGACAGGGAGGAAATACTGAACCTTACTATTTATCAAGATGTTATGATTCTCCATTCATGGAATTTTAACATTTCTAAAAGTTGTTTGGCTTTGTTTTATAAACTCATTTATACGTAGATCACTTAAATGCAAATTACTTTCCAGGTAATGATCTAATATCCAATAGCATTGCCAAACTCTCTTCTTGATTCTAATTGTCTTATAGAATCTTTGAATTCCATAAAATATAGATTACATACAGAATTTTATGTAAACATTCACATCATCTGAAAATACAGTTGACCTTCAAACATCATGGGGTTTAGGGGAGACAGCCTTCTGTGTAGTTGGACATCTACATGTAACTTTTTGTTTTTGTTTTTTTTTGAGACAGAGTCTGCTCTGTCGCCCAGGCTGGAGTGCAGTGGCACAATCTCAGCTCCCTACAACCTCCGTCTCCCAGGTTCAAGTGATTATCCTGCCTCAGCCTCCCAAGTAGCTGGAATTACAGGCGCCACCACCGTGCCCCGCTAATTTTCGTATTTTTAGTGGAGATGAGGTTTCACCATGTTGGCCAGGCTGGCCTTGAACTCCTGACCTCAAGTGATCTGCCTGCCTCGGCCTCCCAAAGTGCTGGGATTACAGGCATGAGCCACTATACTTGGCCTACATGTAACTTTTGACTCCCCCAAAACTTAACTACTAATGGCCTACAGTTAGCCAGAAGCCTATTGAAAATGTAAGTAGTTGATTGGTACACATTTTGTCTATGAATTCCATACTCCATTCTTACAATAAAGTAAGCTAGAGGAAAAAAATGTCATCAAGAAAATCATAAGAAATAGAAAATGTATTTAGTATTCATTAAGTCGAAGTGGATCATCATATAATCTTCATCTTTATCTTTATCTTCATGTTTAGTAGACTGAGGAGGTGGAGGAAAAGGAGGGGTTAGACTTGCTGTCTCAGGGGTGACAGAAGTGGAAAAAGTCTTTGTAAAATAGACCCATGCAATTCAAACCTGTGTTGTTCAAGGGTCAATTGTACATTTTTTCTACTCATTACACACTTTGTCTCTCTTGGCCTTGACTATGGTGGCTGACTAGGAGGAGCTCCAATACAATTCTGAGTAGTCAATAGTGATGACAGTTATCCTGATATTATTTCTTATTTTAAATGAGTTCGAAACACTACACTATTTACTCTACTATTTCATGGGGATCTTTTTTTGAATACCTTTTATTGAGTTAAGGAAATTGCCATCTATTCTTAGCTAAGACTTGCGTTTTTCCCTTGAATTGGTAAGTTTTATTGATTTTGCTGGTATAGATTTGTTTGCTTTTTGAAAGGCTCACGTGTTACTTAGCTTTAATCTTTTAATGTGGTGAATTACATTGATAAATGTTTCAATATTGAATCACCTTTCGTTGATAGAATAAATCCAGCTTACTCAGATGGAACTTCTAAATTGAATTTTTGGATTGTTTGCTTATATTTTTCTATTTTTATATTGGCGAGTTTAGCATATAATTTTATTTTGGTATCAAACCAATTTGTTATCAAATGTTCTAACATCATAAATAGGGTTAAGGAGGACTTCCTTTTTTAAAAAATTAACATTTGAATTATCAGAATTTCTATTACTTTATTTTATTGTTATTGTTTTTATCATTGTAATGTTTTGGTAGGACTCCTTTATGGCAAATATTTAATGGCGGATTCAATTTTTCTAATTATTGTAGAACAAATTGGTTATCATTTTGGTTAACTGGGAACATAGGTCTATTATATTTTCTCTAAGAATGTCACCTAATTTTTGAATGATGCTCATTCTTCTGTTATTACACAGCAAAAGGTACACTCAAATCTGCACACCCTATATAGACATTTGTAGGAAAAAGAATAATTGTACACACATAGACACATATACTTGATATAAATACATACAGATATATTTATTTTTATAGATATTTAAGGAATAACAACAAAGCCATATTCTGACAGATTCAAAGGCACAGTACATTATCCTTCCTACTATCCCTTCCTCTTTTCTCCTTCTTCGATGTTCCCGATTTTTTCCTGATAATCTCCTTGTTCCACAGCTATAAGGCTGGTCAATAGACACTCCACCTTACTTTACCATTTACCTTATGCTTAATCATTGTTTATTATGAGAGCCACTGTCATTCCCATTTCAGGATTCTGGGTATCTGCATTATGCAAGCACCTCCATTTCATTTTTATTTTAGTTAAAAAATCTATTAGTTTGTTATACAATTTGAAAACATATTTCTATTCAGTTATTTTTAGCGATAATCAGTCTGTCTAGATTTTAGTACAATATATTTTGTTAAGAAATAGTCATTTACTCAGAATTTCCTGTATCCATTTATCTATTTTTATGCAGTTAAAGATGCGATGTATATTTATATTTTATTCAATTGAAGAAACTAGGTACTTGCATAATCATCATTTGTAAATGAGGTGACTACATATTGAAAACATTTTAAATCAGGTGAAAAATATTTAAGAAGAATATCTTGATTCAAGACAAATATACCTGTACAAAGGCAGCAGCTCACTACTTAAAAGCCATAACTTATTATAAAATATAGTAGAGAAAAAGTAACTCACAGAACGGAAGCAAGGAAAGCATGAATAGGAAAAAATAAGAAAAATTCACAGATTTAAAGAATAATAAATTGTGGTAAAAACTTAAGGAATCTGTATATAATAACCTTTACTTTACTAGCAAATCTTTTGGACAAAAATGCTAAGTAAAAGTAGAAATAAATTTACATTCTTATAACATAAACCAACATAAAATCATTCAAGATTAATTTTAAAATTAAATTTTAAAAATGATAAAGTGTAGATAAATATGCTGTAAATTATCTGATACATAATTTGATTTTAGTCTTTCTTATAAAACAAATAAAATGTTTACAATAAAAAACTATTACACAATTTTGAAAGTACAAATAAAAACATATTAAACAACTACAAAGAGACAAAAGGAGAAATATTCAAAATATGCATAAAAGAATTGTTCAATTTTCCAAATATAAAAATATACCTTGTATACATTAAGAAAAAGATAAGTCTGCAATAGAAACTTGATGCAATACGTGAACACACAGTTCAAAATTTATCCACAAATGTTCAGTAAAAATGAAAACAAGTTAAAATAATTAATTAAAAAAGAAGTGCAAACTTGAAAAATGATTTTCCCTTTCAAACAGGTAGCAAATTTTAAAATTAATTTTTACAGGAGCTGGCATTCTGATGGTAGAAAAATTAAATTATTAAGTACATACTTCTGACAGCACGGAAAAAACCTCCTCCCATACAAAGGTAAACTCAAAATTATTAGAGTGCTAATTTTTTGGAAAAGCAAGTATTATTCTAATAAAATTGGAATCTGAATTAAATACTAGAAAAATATATAAAACTATATTTTGTACATTATATTATATACATAGAAAACACAAATGATTTAAGAAAAAAACTAGAAATAATAAGAAATTTAGGTAACTAGGTAGTTAATAAATATTACAGCTTCTCTTATTCATAGAATAAGTTACCAAATATTGATACAAAAATCACAATAAAATGTTTACAAAAAGTTTGAATTATTTAGAAACAATTTTTTTTTTTTTTTTTTAGTGAGACGGAGTGTCGCTCTGTCGCCCCGGCTGGAGTGCAGTGGTGTGATCTCGGCTCACTGCAACCTCCGCCTCCTGGGTTCAATCAATTCTCCTGCCTCAGCCACCAGAGTAGCTGGGATTACAGGCGTGTGCTACTAAGCCTGGCTAATTTTTGTATTTTAGTAGAGGCAGGATTTCACCATATTGGCCAGGCTGGTCTGGAACTCCTGACCTCAAGTGATCCGCCCGTCTCAGCCTCTCAAAGTGCTGGGATTACAGGCGTGAGCCACCGCACCGGGCCTAGAAACAATTTTTAAATGACGTAATGATATAAAATATCTTACTGGAATATATGAAATGGTATCTAAACAAATGAAAGGCACATCATATTTTTGAATATTTGGATGAAAAGGCAATACAACAACAACATTTCCCAAATTATTATTTAAATTTTATATAATTCTAATACATGTCTTCGGTGGACTTTTTTTTTTCTTTTTCTTTTTCTTTTTTCTTTTTTTTGAGACAGAGCTTTGCTCTTGTTGCCCAGGCTGGAGTGCAATGGCGGGATCTCGGCTCATCGCAAACTCCGCCTCCCAAGTTCAGGCGATTCTCTGCCTCAGCCTCCTGAGTAGCTGGGATTACAGGCATCCACCACCACACCAGGTAATTTTTTGTATTTTTAGTAGAGACAGGGTTTGGCCGTGTTGGCCAGGCTGGTCTAGAACTCCTGAACTCAGGCGATCCATCCACCTCGGCCTCCCAGAGTGTTGGGATTACAGGCGTGACCCACCATGTCAAGCCCTTGGTGGGATTTTTTATGTAATTAAGAGTATATTTAATATTTTATGAAATATATTTATGTGCCCAATCCAACCCAATCCAAATAAATCTAGTCAGGAAGAACAAAGAAAAAGATTTTAAAAAACAACAGTGAGTATATGTTGGGGAAAATTAACCTTATTAGATACAAGAAGAAAACTGCTAATAAAATAAAATAATGTTTAAACAGTAACTTAAATAATGAAAAATAGTAGAAATGTCAGAAATATACTCACTAACAATATGATTTTAATGTAAGGTACAGGTGATAGAATAATGCAGTTGGAATAAGATGAATAACTTAATAAATAGTGCCGGGATATCTGGATATCCATAAGATGTAATTTCCAAATACATTAAATTCCTAAACACAAATACTAAAAAAAACAAATGTTTACAGTTTATAGAACTATAAGTACTGCCTAGGAGCAAGTGATATTTCTCACAAAGATAGGGAATCAAAATCCCATAAAGAAATAATAAATATACTTGTTCTAATTTCACAGTAAAGATCTAAGAAAAATCCCCTTGTGCTCCCAGCAGTGGGAAGGAAAAGTAACAATTTCCCGATACCCCAGATCATTCTCCACATCACAGCCTGTTCTTTTAGGGGAAGGACTTCACCAAAGCCTTATCTCCATGGGCAAGTGGCAATTGGCCAACTCCAGTTGTTCTAGCCTTTCTACCTCACCTAAGGGAAAGTGACAGAGGCTAAGAAACAGATCTGAGTGTCATAGCCCAGTGACACAGGCCCACTAAAAAAAAAAAATTATAGATTACTTCCCTTCTCTGAGAAGGGAAGGGCTACAGTATAATAACTACAGATTACAACTAAAAGAGCTGCAAGAAACAAATTCAATTTAAAAAGAATTTCTTATGAAAACCCCAAGACAGAGGGGGAAAATGTAAGGACACAAGAGGAAACTGATGTCTCTGGCATCTATGGCTACAGAAAACATTTAAACAGAACTCAGTTCCTATACACACTAAAATAAAACCTCACACTAACGGCCCATTTACCTCAGTTTCTATTACCTGATACGTTACGTTTGGCTTACAACAAAAAAAAATCACAAGACATGCTAACACATAAAACAGTCTTAAAAGAAAAAGTAAGCATTAGAATTAGACTAATATATGATGCAGACTGTGGAACTATAAGGTAGGAAAGTTTAAATAACTATGCTCAATACTTTAAGGGCTCTAATAAAAAAAAGTACAACATGCTAGAATAGATGGGTAATATAAGTAAAAATGTAAGTGTGCAAAGGAACAGAAAGAAATACTATAAATAAAACACTTAATAGAAATGAAGAGTGCTTTTGATATATACGTCAGTAGATGGGACACAGCTGAGGCAACAATTAGAAAACTTGAAGATACAGCAATAAAAATTTCACAAACTGAAATACAAAGAGAAAAATAAATAAGAAAAAATGAAGTGGACTAATCAATAATGGTGGGATAATTACAAAATATTTACCTACAAACAACTGACTTTTAGCAAGGTTGACAAAAACATACACTGGAAAAAGAAAACTATTCAATAAATGATGCCAGGAAAATTGCACAGCTATACACAGAAGAATGAAACTGCACCGATATCTCTCACCATATAAAAAATGAACTAAACATGGATTAAAGATCTAAATGTAAGACATGAAATTATAAAAATTCTAGAAGAAAACGTAGGGAAAACTCTTCTGAATTTTGGCCTAGGCAAATAATTTATGACTAAGTCCTCAAAAACAAACACAACAAAAGCAAAAATAGATAAATGGGACTTAAACTAAAAAGCTTTTGCACAGCAAAACTATCCACAGAATAAACAGACAGCCTGTAGAATGGGAGAAAATATTTGCAAAATATGCAT
This sequence comes from Homo sapiens, assembly GCF_000001405.40. Taxonomy (NCBI): domain Eukaryota; kingdom Metazoa; phylum Chordata; class Mammalia; order Primates; family Hominidae; genus Homo; species Homo sapiens. The sequence continues at coordinate 9,973,414 of NC_000010.11, forward strand.
CTAAGAAAGGGCTAGTATCGAGAATCTATAAGGAACTCAAACAACTCAACAAGAAAAACACAAACTACTCCTTTAAAAAGTGGGCAAAGACATGAACACACATTTTTCAAAAATAGACATATACTCAGCCTACAAACATGAAAAAATGCTCCACATCAGGGAATCATCTGATAAATGAATACTAAAAACACAATGGGATACCATCTTTCAACAGTTGGAATGGCTTTTATGAAAAACTCAAAAAGCTATGCACATAAAAAGAATACTTACACACTGCTAGTGGGAATGTAAATTAGTACAACCTCTATGGAAAAGCGTATGGAGACTTCTCAGAGAACTAACAATAGAACTACCATTCAATCTAGCAATCTCACTACTGGGTATCTACTCCCACCAAAAAATAAATCATTATGTACAAAAACAAAAACAAAACTCTGCACTTGTATATTTATCACTGCACTATTAACAATTAGCAAAGTCATGGAATCAACTGACTTAAGTGTTCATCAACAGATGATTGGATAAAGAAAATGTGGTTATATAATACCATGAAATACCACACAGTCTTTAAAAAGAATGAAATAATGTTTTTCCAGCAACATGGATGGTGCTGAAGGCCATTATTCTAAGTGAAATAATTCAGACACAGAAAGTCATATACCAAATGTTCTCACTTATAAGTGGGAGCTGAACAAGTGGTATGCATGAGCATACAGAGGGGACTAATTGGCATTGGAGAATCCTAAAAGTAGGAAGGTGAGAAAGGGATGTTTGCTGAAAAATTACCTATTACATACAATATTCACTATTGCCGCAATTCACACACTGAAAGCACAAAATTCAAACATATGCAAACATAAAATGCAATTATAAAATGAAAAAGAGCAGGAGCCTCTATTTCTTCATATCAGATAAAACAAACTGTAAACCAACAACGATCAGAAAGGAGAAAGAAGGGACTTACACAATGATGAAGGGTTTAATTAAATAAGATGACTGAGCTATTCATAATATATACACACACAACATTAGAGCACCTAGATTCATAAAACAAGTCCTTCTTGATCTACAAAAAGACTTAAACAGCCACACAACAATAATGGGAGACTTTAACACCCCACTAACAATGTTAGACAAAACATCAAGGCAAAAAACAAAAATTCTGGACTTAAACTTGAAACTCAACCGGTTGGACCTAATAGAATACTCCACCCAATAACCGCAGAATATACATTCTTCTCATCTGCACATGGAACATATTTTAAGATTGACCACATGCTCACTCATACAGCAAATCTTAATGAATTCAAAAAAATTAAAATTCCAAGTATACTTTCAGACCACAGTGCATTAAAAATAGAAATCAACATCAAGAAAATATCTCAAAACTCAAAAATACATGGAAATTAAATAAATTGCTCCTTAATAACAGCTGGGTGAACAACAAAATATGGGCAGGTATGAAAAAATTTGTATTAATAAAAACAGAGAAACAACTTACCACAATATTTGAATGTAGCCAAAGCAGTGTAGAGAGGAAAGTTTATAGCACCAAATTATAGCCTTCATAAACAACTTTAAAAGATCTCAAATAAACCATCTCACCTCGCACCTAGAGGAACTTAAAAAAAAGAAAATTTAGCAGAAGAGAAGAAATAACTAAAATTAGAGAAGAACTGAATGGAATTGAGTGCAAAAATCCATACAAAACATCAATGAAGGCAAGAGAGATTATTCAAAATAATAAATAAGATTGATATATTGCTAGCTAGATTAACAAAGAAAAAAATGAGAAGATCCAAATAAGTACAACCAGAAGTAATGAAGATGACATTACAATTGATCCTACAAAGACACAAACATACCCAGAGGCAATTATGAACAACTCTATGCATACAAATTAGAAAATCTAGGTGAAATTGATAAATTCTTGAAAACGCACAACCTCCCAAGATTGAACCAGGAAGAAAGTGAAAACTTGAACAGACCAATAACAGGTTTTGAGATTGAATCAGTAATAAATAACCTACCAAACAACAACAACAAAGAAGCCCAGGACCAGATGGATTCACAGCTGAATTATATCAGACATACAAAGAAGAACTGGTACCAATCCTACTGAAATTATTCCAAGAAATTGAGGAGGAGGGGCTTCTCCAGAACTAATTCTACAAAGCCAGTATTAGCCTAATACCAAAAACCGGCAGAGACATAAAGAAAAAAGAAAACTTCAGGCCAATATCCCTGTTGAACGTAGATGCAAAAACCCTCAATAAAATACTAGCAAACTGAATCTAGCAACACACCAAAAAGATAACACATTACAATTAAGTAGGTTTATTCCTGGGATGCAGGGCTGGTTCTATATACACAAATCAATAAATGTAATTCACCACATGAACAGAATTAAATGCAAAACCCCTATGATCATCTCAATAGATGCAGTAAATGCTTCTGAAAAAAATCTAACATCCCTTCGTAATAAAAACCCTCAGCAGACTAAGCATCAAAGCAATATGCTTTAAAATAATCATAGCCATCTAAGACAAAGCCATAGCCAATATCACACTGTTTAAGCAAAAGCTAGAATTATGCCCCTTGTGAAATGCAGCAAAACAAGGATACCTACTCTCATTACTCCTATTCAACATAGTATTGGAAGTCCTAGCCAGAAAAATAGTGCAAGAGAAAGAAAGAAAGTGCATCCAAATAGAAAAAGAAGGAATCAAATTATCTCTCTTCATTGCTGGTGTAATTCTATACTCAGAAAACCTTAAAGATTCCACCAAAAAGCGGCTAGAATTGATAAACTATTTCAGTAAAGTTTCAGGTTGCAACATAAATGTACAAAAATCAGCAGCATTTCTATACACCAATAACCCTCAAGCTAAGTCAAATCAAGAACATAATCCCATTCACAATCACCAAAAAACAAAATATCTAAGAATATAGCTAAGCAAGGAGGTGAAGGATTTCTACAAGTAGAACTAAAAAACACTGCAAAAGGAAATTAGAGATGACACAAATAAATGGAAAAACATTCCATGCTCAGGAGTTGGAAGAATCAATATCGTTAAAATGGCCATTCTGCCCAAAGCAATTTACAGATTCAAGACTGTTTCTATCAGACTACAAATGTCATTTTTCACAGAATTAAAAGAAAACTCTTCTAAAATTCACACAGACCCAAAAAAGTGCCCAAATAGCCAAAGCAATAACAAATAAAAAGAACAAGTCCAGAGGGATCACACTACCCCACTTCAAACTGTACTATAAGGCTACAGTAAAAAAGCAGCATGTTACTGGTACAAAAACAGGCACATAGATCAATGGAACAAACCAGAAATAAAACTGCACACCTATAATCATCTGATCTTCTACAAAGCTGACAAAAACAAGCAATGGGGAAAGGACTCCCTATTCAATAAATGGTGCTGGGATAATTGGCTAGTCACATACAGAAGAATGAAACCGAACCCCTACATTTCACCGTATACAAAAATTAACTAAAGATAGATTAAATATTTAAATGTAAGACCTCTAACTATAAAAATTATAGAAGAAAACCTAGGGAGTACACTTCTTGACATCTGCCTTCTTGACATCTGCCTTGGCAAATAGCTTTTGGCCCCCATAAGCAATTGCAACAAAAACAAAAATTGACCAATGAGGCTGAATTTAACTAAAGAGATTCTGCACAGCAAAAGAATCTATCAACAGAATAAACAGAAAACCTACAGAATGGAAGAAAATATTTGCAAACAATGCATCTGATGAAGGTCCAGAATCTATAAGGAACCTAAGCTAATCAACACACAAAAAACAAATAACCCCTTTAAAAAATGGGCAAAGGACATGAACAGACATTTCTCAAAAGAAGAGATACATGTGGCCAACAAACACATGAAAAAATGCACATCATCACTAATCACCAGAGAAATGCAAATCAAAGCCACAGTGAAATACCATCTCATACCAGTCAGAATGACTATTATTAAAAAGCAGATGCTGGCAAGGCTGTGGAGAAAGGGCAACACTTACACACTCTTAGTGGAAATGTAAATTAGTTTGGCCACTGTGGATAGCAGTTTAAAGATTTCTCAAAGAATCTAAAACAGACCTACCAATCAACCCAGCAATCTCATTACAGCAAACAAATCATTCTACTGAAAAGACACTTGTGCTCATATATTCATTGCAGCACTGTTCACAAGAGCAGAGACATGGGATCAACTTAGATGTCATCAACAGTGAATTGGATAAAGAAAATGTGGTACATATACACCATGGAGTACTACACAGTCATGAAAAAAGAACAAAATCATGTTCTTTGCAGCAATATGGATGCAACTGGAGACTATAATCCTAAATGATTTAACACAGAAACAGAAACAGAAAACCAAATACTGCATGTCTTTTCTTGTAAGTAGAAGCTAAGCTTTAGGTATACATGGACATAAAGATGGGAACAATAGACACTGGAGAAGGAGGAAGGGAGAGAGAGGGGTCTGGGTTGAAAACTATTTATTGGGTACTATGCTCACTACCTGGGTAATGGGATGTCTACCCCAAACCTCAGCAAAGTGCAATATAACCATGTAACAAACCTGCACATGTACCCTTGTGTCTAAAATAAAAGTTGAAATTATAAAAAAATCACAGGATCCTATCAATAGATATAGAAAAAGTATTTCACAAAATCCAACATCAATTCATGTTAAAACTCTCAGTAAACTACGATTAGAAATTTCCTCAACCTGATAAAGAACCACTACAAAAAATCTACAGCTAAAATCAACCTTAACTAGATGGTTTCCTACAAGATTCAGAACAAAGCAAGGATGTCTACTCTCCCTGCTGCTATTTAATACTATAACTTAAAATCCTAGATAGTGCAATAAAATAAGATGAGGAAATAAAAGTATACAGATTTGGAAGGAATAAATAACTTTTTCCTTTGTTCACAGCTGTCTATGTAGAAAATCCAAAAGGATCAACAAAATTAATCCTGGACCTAACAAACAATTACTGCAAAATGGCAGGATACAATGGTAATATACAAAGTCTAATTGTTTTCCTATGTACCAACATGCAGAAAAGGGTTAACTCAGCAGGCCTGGGTTTCTCAAATTGGGCACTTTCCGATTAAAGGACTGTCTTTGTGACTGGCAATTGGCTGTATCATGAAAGATGAGCTCTGAGCCCTTGAAATAGTCTGCTTGATAAGAGTGTTTTTCTGTGCCTGAGACCTGGGGCCATGATATGCCCGTTTGATCAGATAACATATGCTAAAATTGTAAATGCCAGTTTTTGCATGGTTGAGGCCTTGAACCACATAGTAGCAAACTGATCAGATAGTTTATGCTAACAGATGTGATTTATGGTGAAGCATGTTTTTGCTCAAGGGAGCTGGAGTAGTTGAGGTTCCTCATGCAGGTACTGCATGCCTGCATGACTCATCCCCAATAAAACACTGGACACCAAACTTCAGGTAACCTTCTTTGGTTGGCAACACTTTGAACATATCACATATTGTTACGGGGAAAATTAAGAGTACCTGTGAGATGCCATTAGGAGAACAATCCTGGAAGCTTGTGCCTAGTTTATCATAAATTGGGTCTTATATGCCTAGTTCCTTTGCTAATTATAATCTCTTTTTGCTGTAATAAATTATGACCATCATTATAATGGCTTTTCTGAGTCCCACGAGTCCTTCTAACAATTAATCTTGAATGTGGTCATGGGGATTCCCAATCCAACCAGCAATTAATAATTAGAATATAAAATTTAAGGCCAGGCGTGGTGGCTCACACCTGTAATCCCAGCACTTTGGGAGGCCGAGGCGGGTGGATCACGAGGTCAAGAGATCGAGACCATCCTGGTAAACATGGTGAAACCCCATCTCTACTAAAAATACAAAAATTAGATGGATGTGGTGGTGCACGCCTGTAGTCCTAGCTACTCGGGAGGCTGAGGCAGGAGAATTGCTTGAACCCAGGCAAAGGTTGCAGTGAGCCAAGATCCTGCCACTGCACTCCAGCCTGGTGACAGAGCAAGGCTCTGTCTCAAACAAAAAAAAATTTAAAACAAAATACCATTTGTATTTGCACCAAAAATACTTAGGTGTAAATCTAATCATATGTAGAAGATCTATATGCAGAAAACCATTAAACTCTTATTAAAGAAATCAAAGAAGATATTAATAAATATTTCAAGAGATATCTTGTGTTTCAATAGGACAATTTTATACTATTTCGATTCCATTTTTTTCCAACTTAATCTATAGATTCAGTGCAATCCAAAACAAAATTTCAGTAGGCTAATTTGTAGATATTTATAAATTAATTCTGAAGTTTATATGCAAAGGCAAAATACCCAGAATAGCCAACACAGTACTTAAGAAGAACAGCAGTTAGAAAAAATGATGCTATTCAGCTTCAAGACATAATATAAAGCTAAATAATCAAGACAATAAAATCAAGACAGCCTAATATTGATGAAAGAGTAGACATAGAGTTCAATGAACTGAGTAAACAGCCGAGAAATAAACCCACAAAAATATAGTCAACTGGTCCCTGACAAAGGAGCAAAGCCTATACAATAGAGAAACATACCCTTTAAAAAATGTATGCTGGAACAATTAGACATTCATGTAAATGAATCTAAACACAAAACTTACACATTTCTCAAAAATTAACTAAAATGGAACATAGACCCAAATGCAAATTGTAACACTATAACATTTTGAGAGGACAGTTTAGGAGAAAATCTAGACAACATTGAATTTGATGATGCGTTTTTAGACACAACACCAAAAGCTTAGTCAATGAAAGACAAGCTTGGTAAATAGCACTTTATTAAAATCTAGTAAAAGATACTCTTAAGAAAATGAACACACAAGCCACAGATTAGGAGAAAATATTTGTAAAGGACATATATGATGAAGGACCTAGGAGAAAATATTTACAAAGGACATACATGTTGAAGACCCTATATCCACGTTGAACAAAGACATCTTAAAACTCAACAATAACAAACCAACCCAGTTAAAAGAAGGGCTTTTAAAATTGGACCCAATTAAAAAAGAACTGAATAGGCACCTTACCAAACAAGATAAAACAGATGGCAAGAAAGCATATAAAAAGATGCTCAATATCATTTGTTTTTAGGGAATTCCATGTTAAAACAATAATGAGGTACTCTTACATAACTGTTAGATTGTCCAAAAATAAATTGACAATACCATATGCTGATGATCATGTGGAGAGGCAGAAACTCTTTCACTGCTTGTTGTAATGAACAATGATACAGCCCCTTTGGATGATTGGTTGACTGTTTTTTAACATTCCGCAATCATGCACATATATGTACCCAATTAAACTGAAAACGTGTGTACACACAAAAACCTGCACATGAGTATTTCCAGCAGCTTTATTCATAATCATCAAATGTGGAAGCAAACAAAATATCTTTGAATACATAAGTGGAGAAACAAAAGGTGGCACATTGATGCAATGGTATATCATTCAGCATCAACAGAAAATGGGTTGTTAAGCCATGAAAAACATCGAAGAACCTTAAGTGCATATTGTTAAATGAAATAATCCCATCTGAAAGGGTTACTTACTATTCAGTTTCAATTATATGACATTCTGGAAGGTCATATAATTGAAATTGACATTCTGGAATGACATTCTGGAATAGGCTGAACTACAGGGACGGAGAATTGAGTGTTAGGATTAAGACTTTTCTTTCAACATGTTTTGGTTTCTATTTGTGAAATAACCATGTCTAATGTGTTGGAGTTAAATGGATTTTTAAACATGCTGGAGATGCTTCTCATTTTCCAGATGAAGCAGGAAATGGCTCTCTACAGACATTTTAATAACATGTCAATATTTCTGATCACATGTGTATTCCAACAGACAGAGGTCTTTGGAAACTATTGAACTATAGGGAGATAAGAGAATAAAAATCTTCTTTATAGATCCTGGATAATATTTAACACTATATTATTGAATTATTTTAGTACAAGCAGTATAATGTGGCATGGTGTAATAACTGTCATCAAATCCTCTGTAGAATAAAAGGCATCAACAGAACATTTCTGAAAGAAAATGCATCCTGGAATCTGCAAGAGCATAAAATATCCAGGCAATAGTTAAATTACAGCTGATTGGCCATTTAAACATGTCTCCAAGAATGATTTCATTTCCTATCGTCTCATTAAATAAGGCGACATAAATTTTTATTGAGATTTTACTTTATAGAGATTATATCAATAACGTTCCGTATGACTTTCATTAGAATTTTTCATTTCTGAGACTTTAAACAAGAGATGTCAAAAGCAATAAAACAAATGCCAGCTTCAATATTTGGCCTAGGTTCACCATATTAAAAGTGTTATAACCCAACCGTTTTATCTTCAATAATATATAGTAATGATTTCTTTTAACATCTTATCCTGCAAAGGTAGAAGAAACCAAAATGTCTCTAAACTGTATTTGTATAGCCCTAAACATCACTGAAGAAAAGCATTATTCATCTTTGTAATACAGCTTTATGGCACCAATTTAGCTGAAAGAATGTATACGTGTATATCTTTTATGGCATTTTCACTTCAGAGAATTAGATATGACTTGTTTATGTAATGCTGAGTAAAAAAGAATTTTTTTTTTTTCTGGTAGAGAAACTTGCTATTATAGGAAGGCATGGATCTTGACTGTAACAGGAGTCACATCCCAGAAAAGGCAATATTGGGTTCGGAAATATATGGGGAACGCGAGTGAAATGTGGGACCAATTTCAAAGTCACATGATGAGAAAAGAGGAAATATAGGAGTATTCTATTAGACCACCAAATGCTCTTCCAGCTACACAACAAATACTCTGAGATGGGGCCAATCGCTAGTGATTTTCCCACACTTTTCTGTCCTTACCTTTATGTTTTATTACAGCAATAAAAAAAACCTGCCTTCTCTGTATGTTAGGCAAGAACTGCAGGGGATGATACTAAGAACTTGCTTCTGCCTCAGTGGATTCTGATGCTTTCGTTTTGGATTTACACTTTTTTTACGGTAACTGAAAGCAACAAGAGTTTTAGTATTGCTTCTGTGGAAACCTTGCCACTATGTTTTACTTTTTTATGTTTCTTTATTTTATTCTGTACCGCATTAACCCATTTTTTCCTTTTTATTCCATGTGGCTGTTAGGTAAGACTTTGCCAAAGGAAAGGGACAATTACATGCCCCTTCTTAACTGAGCCTTGGACCTTCACTCTGTATTGCCCTCAGCAGAACTCTAGACAGCAAGCCTTCTTTATTTATCATTGCTGTTTTAATTCCCCAGGCCCTTATGATGGAGTACTGTCTTTCTCAGAATGTTAATAGGAACCAAGTGAAAATGATTCCAGTGTCAAAGCAATTCTGGAAATATTTGAAAAGTTATAAAAGGAGTATTTTTAAATTGCAGATATCCTAAGCAAATTTTATATTTTAATATACTAATGTACCATGAGATTTTCCTAGTGGGAGACATGGCAAGCAGGGTTTCCATATATGATCATGGGATCAAGTATTTATTCCATGGATAAAAGAACAGAGACTTACTAATGAAAAGCCAGGAAAATGGATGTATCTCTCTCATGTATTCGTCCCTTCATTCATTCTATAGACACTCATTGAGCTTTCTTACTATATGCCAGGTATAAGCATGATAGCTGGGAACACAACAGTGAACAAGACAGGTCAGATGTCTCTTTGTCAGTTGCATTATAATGGAAGGTGAGAAAAAAATTGATACACCAGCCTCTTTTTAAAAAATGTTTATTTTAGGTTCAGTAGTACAAGTGCAAGTTTGTTATACAGGTAACTTGTGCATCACAGAGATTTTGTGTATAGATTATTTTATTACCCAGGTTATAAACTAGTACTCAATGGGTACATTTTAAATCCTAACTCCCCTCCCAGCCTCTACCCTTAAGTAGGCCCTGGTGTTGTTGCCTTCTTTGTGTCCATGTGTACTCAAAGTTTAGCTCCCTTTATATAAGAAGTGAGAACATGAAGTATTTGCTCTTCTGTTCCTGTTAGTTCACTGAGAATAATAGCCTCCAGTTCCATCCATGTTGCTTCAAAGGACGTGATCTCATTCTTTTTCATGGCTGTGTAGTATTCCATGATATATATGTAGTACATTTTCTTATCCAGTCTCCCTTTGACGGCCATTTTTGTTGATGTCATGGCTTTGCTATTGTGAATAGCTCTGTTATGAACATACACATGCATGTGTCTTTATGGTAGAACAAGCTAATTTTTTAACTTGTTAATTAAACTTTTAAAAATTCCTTTCAAATTATTATTTTAAGACAACTTTGCATAACCTAAGATAATGACGATTTTTTTCTATAGTACCTTGTAGAAGATCCATTGTTCTATCTCTCACGTTTAGATGGCAATCCACTTGGAATCAATTTTTGTGTATAACATGAGGCATAGGCCAAGATTCAATTTTCCATGTGGATATTCGATGAACAAATGTTGAGTGGGCCTTCGTTTCTCCACAGCTGTATCTATATTATATGGTTTGGCTCTGTGTCCCCACCCAAATCTCATCTTGTATCTCCCACAATTCCCGTGTGTTGTGGGGGGGGGACCTGGTGGGAGATAATTGAAACATGGGGGCAGGTCTTTCCTATGCTGTTCTCATCATAGTGAATAACTCTCATGAAATCCTGTGGTTTTAAAAACAGGAGTTTCCCTGCACAAGCTCTCTCTTTGCCTGCTGCCATCCATATAAGATGTGACTTGCTCCTGCTGGCCTTCTGCCATGATTGTGAGGCCTCCCCAGCCATGTGGAACTGTAAGTCCATTAAACCTCTTTTTCTTCCCAGTCTCAGGTATGTCTTTATTAGCAGCGTGAAAAGGGACTAATACATTATATACATTAGTCTCTTTATGGACTATCTGTTTTATTGGTCTATTTATTTATGTTTACTTTTCTGTACCTTTATAATAAGTTATTTTGCTACTGTACAATAAAGCTTTTTATCTTCCACTTTTCATCTTCTTCAAGGCTATCTTGGCCATTCTTAGTCTTTGAGTTTGGTTGGGATTATGTGTACTATACAGATCAACCTGAGAATTGAGGGTTTTATAATATTAAGTCATTCAATCCATGACAAATCCTTCAATTTATTTAGAAATGTCAAAATTATTCTTAATAGAGCTTGGTAGTTTTTTTATGGGAAGATTTTACATAATTTTGGATTAGATGCATTTATAGATATTTGGTGTGTATATATAGACATTTGATATTTTGATGCCATTCTAAATGGCACCATTTTTAAATTATCTTCTCTTTGTTGCTAATACATAGAAGAAAACTTTTTGTTCGTTACATTATTGCTGAATTCACTTGTTAAGGTTGTATCTGAAAAATCTTTTGGATTTTCTCTGTGTACTGTATAATATAATGTACAAATAATGAAAAACTACATTTGAATGTTTTCTTTTTCCTTCATATTATTTTTTGACTTTTATTTATAATTTTTGCTCTGTTTAACCAGATAGAACTTCCAGTTTAATTGAATGGGAGAGGCAGCTCCTACTGTCTCTATTTTATTTAGTTCTGTCATTTAAAACATTTTATATATTCATATTACTTTACTAGGGCTGCTATGTCAAAATACCACTAACTGGGTGGCTTGAACAACAGAAATTTGTTTTCTCAAAGTTTAAGAGGCTATAAGTCACAGATCAAGTTGTCTGCAGGCTTGCTTTCTCCTGAGGCCCTTTTTCTTGACTTTCAGGCTGCTGTGTCCTCATATGAAATTTTCTGGATGTGTATCCCTGACATCTCTTCCTGTGCTTTTAAGGACACCAGTTCTATTAGATTAGGGTCACCCTAATGTCTTCATTTTATTTAGTTACTTCCTTAAAGACCCCATCTCCACATATAGTCATATTGGGGGTTAGAGGTTCAATATATGAATTTTGAAGGGACACAATTTAGTTCATAACAAATTTATGTATTTTAAGCTATACATAGAAATGTATTTTTAAGCTATGTATAGAAATTTAGAATTGTTACATTGTACTGGAGTGACTCTTGTCATTATTAAATAGCCTCTTATCTCTAGCAATGCATTTTGTTTAAATGATATTAGTATACAGTAATATCAACTTTCCCTTGGTCAGTATTCCATGTCACTTATTTTTATCCTTTTACTTTCAATTTTTCTGTAGTACTTAAGTGTTTGTGTCTTCTAAGCAACGTACAGTTTCTTTTTTATAGAGACTGACAATATTTTTCTTTTAATTACTTTATTTAAAGTGTATCCTTTCAATCAGTATTTAGGGTACTGCTTATTTTTAATGTAATGTAGATATATTTTAGTTTACATATACCATTTTATTTCGTATTTCTTTTTCTTTTTCTTTTTCTTTGTCTGATATCCTCGGTATGTTTTGAACTCCATTTTTTTTTAGTTCACAATACTCAAGATCTGGCTTAAAATTTGGCTCAGCTTCATAGCTTATTGGCTTTGGCTTTCCATTCGTTGACTTCACCACTCTGTTGTTCACTTCTCCAAAACTCAGCTTCTCTTTTTAACTTTTCAGCCTCTTCTATGCTGCATCTGAATCAGCAAATGCCTTGAGATGGAGAGCCATGCCAAATACCAAGGTCATTTGTATACTTTATTTATCTTCAAGATCATGGCCCTTCAATTCTCACTGCCTTTTAATTATTTAATGCCTTAAACTTATTTTACTAATATTATATCCAGATTTTAGTTTTTCTTGGTGGGAAGCTTAGTCTAATAAAGGCTAATCCCTATAGCTGGAAGTTGCTCTGGCTTACTTTTTTTTTTTTTTTTTTTTTTGAGATGGAGTCTCCCTCTGTCGCCCAGGCTGGAGTGCAGTGGTGCGATCTCGGCTCACTGCAAGCTCCACCTCCCGGGTTCACACCATTCTCTGCCTCAGCCTCCCGAGTAGCTGGGACTACAGGCACCTGCCACCACGCCTGGCTAATTTTTTTTTTTTTTTTTTTTGTATTTTTAGTAGAGACGGGGTTTCACAGTGTTAGCCAGGATGGTCTCGATCTCCTGACCTTGTGATCTACCCGCCTTGGCCTCCCAAAGTGCTGGGATTACAGGCGTGAGCCACCTCGCCCAGAACTGGCTTATGTTTTACAAGAATCACAGTGACTACTGTGTTGAGAATAAAATAGGATCAACAGTACAAGCTGAGGCCCCTACCAGGAAGCTATTTTAGTAATCAAGATGAGAAATGATGGTGACACGGACATATTTAGTAGCAAAGTACTTGGGGAGAAGTGGTTCAACCTTTGAATATATTTTAAATGAAGACGTCTTTTGGGGTCTCCAAGACCACCCTCATATTCAAATCGTTGACTAGAAGAATTGACAGGATTCAGTATCAGTCATAGTCATAGTTACAGTTTATTGTAGCTAAAGAATCTGTGGCAAAATCACCAAGGAAAAGGCACATGTAGCCAAGTCCAGGAGAAGCCAGGCCAAGCTCCCAAGTGTTTGCCCCTATGGCTGTCACATGTTTAATTCTCTCAGCAACAAAATGTTACAACACATGTGATGTGTTGCCAACCAGGGAAACTCACTTGAGCCTCACTGCCAGGGTTTTTAATTGGGGGCCACCCACATAGGTGCACCGCACCTGCATGCCTGACTTCAGCTCTTCAGAACAAAAGTAGGTTATTCGCCATAAATCACATTCTTAGGACAAACTTATTTGGTCATGCTGGTACAGTATGGCCTGAATTCTCAAGCATCCAAAAACAATCTTAGCAGACAAAGTATTCCAAGGGCTCAGAGGTTATATTCCAAGAGCAAGGACTAGTCCTGAAGACAAGCCTTTCTTTGGAATGTGCAGGATTTGAACAACCCCCCTGTAAGGAGCTAACGCTTTCTGGCACAGGGGAAGTTGCCAAAATTTTCTGTTGGCTTGGCCTGAGGAGCTCGGAGCAATAAACTAAAATAGGAACATTGTGAAAAAGTACATTTAGAAGGAACATTCGGTTCTCACGGTGAGATGCGTTGAATTTGAAGGGTCTATTAAACATCCAGAAGGAGGTGTTCATCATGCAGACAGAAGTACAAGTCTGAAGTTGGTGTAGAGTTTTAAACAAAAGATACAATTTTGAGATGATGATCATATAACCATCAGAGTCCATTTATTCACTGAAAGACTGAATATAGATAACAAAGGGAAGAAGACCAAAGACTAGATCCTAATCTATACCAATATTGGAGGTCAGGAATAGGAAGGGGAATTAGGAAAGGAGATAGCGATGTCCTGCAGAACCAGTTTATCTTTTCACTGATTTTTCTCTGTTAGTTAAAGGCCACCCCAGGGGGAAATGAATCTCAGGTACCTCTGATTGTGTGCACGTAACTAACGTGATTCCATTAGGATAATGGCAATTATCAAAGGCAGTCAGAGTTAAGGGCTCTTAAAATTAACAGCACACAAAAGCCTGAGAAGAGGCATAGTGAAACAATGAATGGGATCTTGAAGAGCAAAGAACTAGTCATGCCCATTACATAATATATGTAAAAATTACAAACCATAAAAACAAAAGTTACTTATAAACCCACCATATAATTTTAAAACTAAGTCGTTATTCTTGCTGAAACTACTGGTCCATTTTTACTGAAACTACTGGTGTATTTTCTTCTGGTTCCTTATCTCTCCTTAAGGCAGCCACTTTTCTAAATATTTTATTTAACATTTTTTAGCTATTTGAAAAAGCAGGACGGGTGCAGTAGCTCATGCCCATAATCCCAGCACTTTGGGAGGCCAAGGCAGCAGATCACCTGAGGTCAGGAGTTCGAGACCAGCCTGACCAACATGGAGAAACCGCATCTCTACTAAAAATAAAAAATTAGCTGGGCGTGGTGGCACATGGCTGTAATCCCAGCTACTCAGGAGGCTGAGGCAGGATAATTGATTGAACCTGAGAGGCAGAGGTTGCCGTGAGCCAAGATTGCACCATTGCACTCCAGCCTGGGCAATAAGAGCATGAATCTCAGTCTAAAAAAAAAAAAAGTTACTAAACATTACACAACTTAAAATATGTATGATTTGATTTTGCTTCTTTTGTTTTATAAAACTAGTATCTTGCCATTTTAGTCTTCTGAGTTTAGCTTTTTCCATTCAACATTATCGTTTCTAAGATTCACCCATGTTATTCCATGTATAAATGTATCCTCATTCATTCTGTCTGCCATATAAAATTGTATCAGTTTTTAAATATTTTTTATTGCAATGTACATTTTGACTCTTCCTAGGTTTTGGCTGTTTTGAATAGAATTGCTATGTATATTCTTGTATGCATCTTCTTGTACACATGTGAAACAATTTAGCTAAAGTGTACTTTCAGAAGCGGTGTTTTTTAAAGTATGATATATACATGCTGGTCTTGATGGGTCATTGCTTACATAGAGATCTGTCTATTCATGTAGCAAAACTAAGCTTTTTATATTACAGAGAATGTATATGTTTTAATACCTATTTGTATTATACCTCATTATTTCTCTTCTCTTTCAGTGATTTCCTGGCTACTAGTACTTGCTTTTTCTCTCAAAGACCTACATAATTAACTTTATAATAAGTGATTTCTCCCATAAAATATTAGGAAACTTTCTTAAATGACTATCAGTATATGGGCACTGACGTACTTACCTGTGGGAGTGTAACAAACTATAAGAAATTCGTTTTGCGTTTACCGTTTTACCCAGAAAACCCACGTCTAGAAGTTTACCTGAAGATACATCTTTACAAATACAAAACAACGTATTCAACATTATTTATAAAAGCAAAATATTAGAGAGAGACAATGGTTGAATAAATGATGGCATATACTAACAATGAAATATTACAAATGTAAAAAGAGAGAGACTGAGACAATAAAATATGTCCATGAATTGATAACTGAAAAAGAACTAGTACACACATTATATAAGGAATGCCCATTGTTGTGTATAAAACAGGAAAATATTGAAAAATGCATGATTGCTTATATTTGTAAAATCAAACAGATAGACAAAATCAGGAACTACTGAGAAATCATTAATTAGTAAAAATGGTTACCTATGGCAGATAGTTGAAAAAGGAATGGAGGAATAGGAATGTGAGTGGTACTTCTATCAATTTACATTTTCACATAGCTTTAAATTTTGAACCATGTAAATATTTACATATTCAAAAATATATAAAACAGTAACTCAAAATAATAGTGTAAAAAACTACTTTGATCAAAAGCCTGAAAAAGGAATCATAATAGTTTGGTATTAATGAATTATAACACAGGAGTTCATAGTGATAGGCTTGAAAGAAAATGAAGAGAAATGCCAGTTAATAAACATAGACTGAATGATAGACTTAGAAAATATCATTGTGCAATCACCAATATAATATTTGATTCAGATAATTAATGGATGCTAATAGCATTGGATGAGAATTTGTTGGGTAAGAGGACATTATTCAACATTCACAAGGTGTCCATCCATAAATAATAGCTCATTAACTAGAAAAGAAAGAGGTATTTTTACAATTATAAAATCTGAAAATAATTATTTTACCATTTATTCGTGGTGTTTACTATTGTCAATAATGGGAAAAATTGGCAATACGTGCCTCCTGATATGGTGCACCAGGAAGTATATGACACCTGTGTAGTAGTATTGACAGTACGTAAATCTGAGAAGAGTTCAGAGGAAATAATCCAACAAATTCAAAGGCATTCTTAAGACACGGTCTTTGAACTCTACATAAATGTCAGTGTCATGAAAAAGCAGTAGAGCTTTTCTAGATTTAAGAGAAAAACCCTCCCACAATGTAAAGTGTGATCCTTTCTGTATCTCAGATTGAAACAATAAACAAACACTTTTGGGCAGCTGAAGCAATTTGAATATAGATGGCATAATTAGAAAATATTGGATCATTGTCATGTTTCTTGGTTGTGATCGTTGTATTGTGGTTATGTAGAAGCTATCCTAATTCTTAGGAAATGCAGACCAAACTACTGATGAGCAAAATATCATGACGTCTGCAGCTTACATTCTAATTATTCAATAATCCAATCTACAGATTCTAGAAACAGAGATAGCATCTTTACACAAAGTGACTAATGAATTAACATAGACATCCATTCCATTTCAGATTAAGATAATGTGGCCTTCTATGCCCACTGCAGAGAAATGTGTGGGTATTTTAGCCTGTATATTAGTTGTAATAAAAAGATTGTTTCTTACATAAAATGGATAATTTTATCTTTCATCATTTTCTGCTTTGTTCAACAGTTCAATAATATAAATAATTTAAAAAGCTATCTTTTGTTATTTTTATATTATCTTCTTACAGCCAGTGGAGTGAATGCTATGCACAAATGTAGATGTGGACCCTCCTGGGGCCTTTTTCATGCATCCACCGAGTTTTACATCATTCTTTCCTTGTTCATCTTTCACCCCACACCCCACACCCCACACGTTCAATCTACCAGAAGATCCTCATATCAAACTTACCCCAAGAGTTGTTTTCTCCATATCAGTTAACTTCAAGACAACCTTTGCAGTGTATAGGTCAAAAGCCTTGGACTTCTGTCTTTCTTTCAAACACATCAGTTATACCCTCAAAAAATGTCTAGAATCTAATCATCTTTACCACCTCTATGGTTACTGCTCTGATCTGAGACATCAACATCTCTTGCCTCAAGTACTACAAGAGCCTATTGTAATAAGGAGCCTATTTATTCTTCCTGCTGCTACCACTGCCCCATCACCCATAGCTTATTCTCAACCCAGCACCCAGAGTTATTATTTTAAATGGTAATTCAGATGGACACTTCTCCTCTTAGAAGCCTCCAATGGCAATTCATCACATTCAGAACAAAAGCCAAAATTCTCCAGTCTCCTGCAAAGCCCTGAAAGTGTATCCTTTATTGCCTCTCTGGGCCCTCTTTCAAAGTTCCATCCTATCATCTTTCATTTTTCTCTGAACATCCTGCTTTCCTTACCTTTCCAAAAAACATGCCTAGCACATTTTTGCTTTAGGGCCTCATGATTGATTTTCTCTCTATCTGGCATGCTCTTGCTCTGGTATCTACATGGCTCAGTGTTTCACTTCCCCTCACATCCTTGCAATTCTCTGCTCAAAAGTCACTTTCTTGGCTGCTTTATTAAAAATCGTAAGACTCCCAGGATACCTTACATTCCACCCCTTTCTGCTTTATTTTCCTTCATGATAACAATCTCCTTTTAATATATGGTATAATTTTGAATCTGTTTTTAACTGTCTGTCTCCCCTTCATTATAATGAAAGCTCCATGTGGGTAGGGAGTTTGATCGATTTCTTCACAGCTATATATATATTCCTTGTGCTTAGAGCGGTGCTAGCACATTAATAGGCAGTGAAAGCAAATATTTAGAAAATAAGTGAATGCAAATGCATCAAAATGTAGAAATGTATTGTCTGCCAAATATTTATGCTGGGATTCCACATGAACCACATACTTCATGCATAGGAATAATCTTAAAGCTAGACTATCAACTATAGCTCTGTAATAAAAACAATATTGGTCTGTAGAATATGCTAGAAGTTAGGCAATATATTTTATTTTATTGTCTTACTTTCCTGTTATTGTTGTTAGAAATTAGTGTGTACTTGAACAAGAATTTTGATGATAATCAGAAAACCAAAAGACAGAAGGAAAGAGGATATTTTTTGAGACCATAATTGACCATTAGAAATTCATATTGTTGGCGATAAAATCGTAGAAAAAATAATAAGGCAAATAAAGTGATACCAATAGTATGCCTAAATGGTTTAATAGAGGATTTTGCAAATCATTAAGGAAACTGTGCTATTATTGATTCAAAATACATATACTGAGCACCTACTCTGTGTCACTTGCTGTTCTAGATGCTTCTGGTACAGGGGGAAAAACAAACAGAACAAGATAAGTTACATTTTTGTTGAAGGCTTTTATTCCAGTGCTGATGCACAACATAGTGAACAAGATCCACTGTTCTTGAAATAAATCATCTGTATTACCCATTGGAAAGAACTGCGTGTCACAAAATCATCAACTCTGTTTTTTTTGCCCCTATTTGAAGCGACACTACGAAGTATTTTTAAACCAAAACTATAGGTATGTGTACCTCCCAGGTGCATACAGATAAACTTCCCACTTGGAGAAATGACGCAGGCTGGTGAGCCATCAGTGGATAAAATTATGTAAACTCATCTTCCATAGACCAGTTATGATGATTTTAAAATAACCTCACTTAAAACCATTCCCCAAGAGTTAACAACAGTCTATCTGTCTCGGAGAAACTTGAAAAGTAACAAGCAATTCATCGTTCTTGGCTGAGGGGGTCGCCAAGCAGACAATCACGGAGGCTTAAGGCCGTGCATTCCAGTCTAGTTAGAAGGGTTCCATCAGCCAGACCCTGTCAGCACGCGGCGCCAGGTGTTGAAAATGTGACTGCAGTGAGGTTTCCCTGACAGCACGGGAGAGAAAGAATGCTTTTCGCTGAAATTTCAAAGGTTAGAAAATGGATTTTGAAGTCAAAGGCATGGTGCGGGTAAAATTTTCTTTTATTTGACTCTCTTGCTGAATGAGTCAACACATATCGGAGTCATACAACCATAAGGGACACCTTACCCTTCAGAAAGAGGACAAATCAGATGCTTTTAAGAAAAAGCGTAACAGTCATCTTTGGTAGCATTTGACAACATATATATATATATTAAAAAAATGAGTGTTTGCATTTTACCATCTACTTGTAAAAGGAAGAAAGCCATGTTCCTTCGAGGTAGGGTTTGTCCTAGTTGATACAGGTCTGTGTCAATTTCCTCTTTCTGTTTCTAACAAAAGGAAAAAGCTTTCAATTCTATGCAATGAAATCTCAGTTATATTTTTTTCTTGTGGAAAAAAAAGAAGATCATATTATTCATGCTTCAAAAATAAATGATTGCTGCTACATTTTTCTGCTAGTTCCTCGTATTTTGAGAGCAATACAAAAACATAACCTATTGGTTGAGCCACTGAGTTTGCTTTCTTTATGAGATGGTATTTTGTAGATGAAGAAAATCTTTCTGAGGGTATTATGAAAAAAGTAGATTCTTATCTTTTGATACTCCTATCATTCTATCATGAAACTCCTTGATGATTCTGCACCTTTATAGCTAAATGCTTTACTAAAGGCAGACAGAGAATGCTTGGTAGGAGAAAAGGACTTGAAGAAATTAGAATTGAAATGCTATTTTGATGCATGCTAATGCAAGTCTGTGTGCATGACTGTATTAGGTTGTTCAAGTTCAATTGTACAAACCATTATGTCCATGAAACATATTTCCAAAGACAGCTATATTTGAAGAGAAAAATTACCAATGGTCACACGAGTAAAAAGGGCAAATAGATACTAATTTTATTTTATACCTTTTAAATAAGCAGATTGCTTCTGCCATGAATACAGAGTTTAATTAATAGAAGTACTCATTTCCTAACCAATAGAGAGAATACTTATATATTCTTCTATATATCTCCATTGCCTGCTTTATGAAACTTTGATTCAAGTTCTAGTATTTAATAGCTATGAAATATTTTAATATGAGTTTGGGTCTCTATTCATAAGTGAAGAGTTGTTTCTATAACATGCAATTCTGCCAAAAAAAAAAAAAAACAGAAAAGAAGATAATACAATTTTATCTCCCTTTTATTTCCAAGAAAGTATTCCAACAGAGACCAATTTTAATGCAGTTAAATTGAAAGCCATGTCTTTTCTGGTGCTGCTCTGCTGTGAGAAACACCATCGAATTTATGTTGGCATCCTCATATCATATTTGCATAATCTCTATTTAAATGTGCGCCTCAAGCATTGTCAATGGGCTAAATGTGTGTTGCAGAAAGCCAAGAACCGATAGTCATTATATGATACATTTCTGACATGAACATTAGGTCCCATGTTTCTCTGTTTGGCAAGTATGAATGTTTACTTTGGGGGTTGGAGAAAATATAAGGTGCTCTGGGCTTTCTACATATCCTTTCATTCAGTAGCAAGACTCATTGAAAGCAAAGTGGAGGAGAGAACTGAAGGACTGGAAGGTGGTTCCACCCAAGACCAGGTCCAAGGAAGCCAGTCCCCAGGTACTGTGCTAGACTCTGTAAGAGTAACATAAGTGATTCAGTTTTTGGTCATTTCAAATTTTTACATATTTCTTGCATTTTTCTGAGAGTACTGTTTTTTTTTTTTTTTTTTTTTTTTTTTGAGACAGAGTCTCGCTCTGTCACCCAGGCTGGAGTGCAATGGCACAATCTTGGCTCACTGCAACCTCTGCCTCCCGGGTTCAAGCGATTCTTCTGCCTCAGCCTCCCAAGAAGCTGGGAATACAGGTGCCTGCCACCACACCAGACTAATTTTTTTGTATTTTCAGTAGAGACGGGGTTTAACCATATTGGCCAGGCTGGTCTCGAACTCCTGACCTTGTGATCTGCCCACCTCGGCCTCCCAAAGTGCTGGAATTACAGGCGTGAGCCACTGCGCTCAGCCCTGTTTATGTATTTTTTATTCTACTTAATGCTATTCTTCTGGCTTAGAACTTCCTTTTTTCCATTTATCTAATGGAATAACACCTTTGCTATGTTATCCCTCTTCCTAAAACAATATTTGAAGTACTGTATGTCCTGAATTAATACCTACTAGGATCCCAGGAACAAATAAAGTTCTGAGCATCTCGATATCATAAGTTCATCAATATTAATTTTTACTATGTAAAACAGTGAACCCTGTTATTTCCACATGCCAACAATCCCAACAGTCAGAATTGTAAATTATCAAGAAAAGTAATAAAAAGACCATTCTGGTTACTGAAAATTCTTAGTCCTTGACTCCTAGTTTGTTTTCTTTTTCTTTTCTTTCTTTTTTTTTTGTGATGGAGTTTTCTCTTGTCGCCCAGCCAGAGGGCAATGGTGGGATCTCGGCTCACTGAGACCTCTGCCTCCCAGTTCAAGTAATTCTCCTGCATCAGCCTCCTGAGTAGCTGGGATTACAGGCACCCGCCACCATGCCTGGCTAATTTTTGTTTTTTTTTTTTAGTAGAGACGAGGTTTCACCATGTTGGCCAGGCTGGTCTCGAACTGCTGACCTCAGGTGATCCACCCACCTTGGCCTCCGAAAGTGCCGGGATTATAGGCGTGAGCCACCGCACCAGGCCCCTAGCTTGTATTTCAAATGGATGTGGCATAGCATTGTATAGTCAGCTGTATTGTGGTAGGTCTCCCTTTTACATTCTCATAATAGCTTGGACTTAATTACATGTTGCCTGTACCTGGATGCATTCCTTACAGAAATGCTGAGTGACTATGATGTGCCAGGCATGTAATAGGCAGCATAAAATATTGAACATGAGTCAGACTGTCCAGTTCAAATTCTATTTCCAACACATTCTGCCTATATGACTTTGTGCCATCTATATGACTTTATAAGTCATCTGTGTGCCTTTACTAAATCTCTTTGTTTCTCAGTGTTTTCATCTTTAAATGGAAATAATAAGGATACCTGTGTCAGCGGGTTTTGTGATGAACAAAGGGAATTAGAAGGAATCTACACTGTTTGGGTAAGTAGCAGGCACTCCACCAAGGTTTGCTTTGTTTGTTTGTTTCTAGAACAGTGGTTCTCAAACCATAAGAGGAACTTTTTATAAAATACCAATGTCCAAGTCCAACATCTAGACATCCTGACTTAAATGGTCTGAGTTAGGGCTTGGGCATTGTTATATTTTAAAAGTTCCCTTTAAAAATATAAATACTTACAGTAAAAAATGTATGTATATATATATTTATTTTATTTTTAGCTTACTAAATAGTTCTTTGTAGGCCAGGCATGGTAGCCCAAGCCTGTAATCCCAGAACTTTAGGAGGCCAAGGTGGGCAGATCACTTGAGGTCAGGAGTACAAGACAAGCCTGGCCAACGTGGTGAAACCCCATCTCTACAAAAATACAAAAATTAGCCAGGCATGGTGGTGGGTGTCTGTAATCCCAGCTAATCAGGAGGCTGAGGAGGGAGAATCGCTTGAACCTGGCAGGTGGGGGTTGCAGTGACCCAAGATCACACCACACCACTGCATTCCAGCTGGGGCTACAGAGCGAGACTCCATCTCAAAAAAAAAAAAAAAAAGGTAAATAAGTAGTTTTAGAAAACTTAAACAAATACATTTGTAGAATAGAACTTCACAGTGATGGTGTAGTAAGTACTTACAAGAACCATATTCCAATCTATTTTTTTTTTTTTTTTTTTGAGATGGAGTCTCACTCTGTCGCTCAGGCTGGAGTGCAGTGGTGCGATCTCAGCTCACTGCAAGCTCCGCCTCCCGGGTTCGGGCCATTCTCCTGCCTCAACCTCCCATGTAGCTGGGACTACAGGTGCCCACCACCACGCCTGGCTAATTTTTTGTATATTTAGTAGAGACGGGATTTCACCATGTTAGCCAAGATGGTCTCGATCTCCTGACCTCGTGATCCACCCGCCTCAGCTTCCCAAAGTGCTGGGATTACAGGCGTGAGCCACCGCGCCTGGCCCCAATCTATTTTTATACCCAAGAAATATGTAAACTTCCAACTGCAGCCTGAAATAATAAAAAAGAAGAAGTCAGCATATTTCAGATTGAGAAAAAATATGTAATTTTAAAAATATATATATTCTAGATAGATAATATATAAGTATATATTCTATATAATTTTAATATAAAATTGTATGCCAAAGTTAATTCTAAATGGTACCTATAAGCCACCATTCTAGACATTAAGAATACAAAGTAAGCTTATAAAATTGCTGCCCTCATGGAGATTCCAAAAACATAAGAAATGTAAAATTGGAGTCCACATATTATTCAATTTTATCCCCAGAAAGTGTCACATTTTCTATCACCTAAATGCTTAAAAATATTTTTCAAATGAATGAATGAATAAATGAATCATCTAGGAGAGACTTCTGATTCCAGCTACTCTCCTGCATACTGTGATTTCTGGCTCTCTTTAGCAACTGCAATACTTAGTTATGCTAAATAGATTTAATGACATGACTTTTGACTATATTAAATCCAATTGCTCTTTATTAGTAGATATCAGCATTTTGTAATAAGCCATCATGTAGCACCTCATGGCTGCTGTTACCCTGCTAGGCATTTTACAAAAGAAAACCATGAGCACATTCCATTTATTGGGGAAAATATTGCCTTTGTGACAGTATTCATGGAAAAATGCCTGTGCAAAAAACCTGTTATGGTAAATGTAAACATAAAACAAGAAAAGGCATTCTAAAAGAATGATCTATTACACTGTATTTGGTATATGTCCACACTGATTTAAGGTGTGTCATCTTAAATGTTCTAGTCAATGTGATAGAAGGTTTCTGGAAAAGCTTTTTGCTTTTCTGACAGATGCAAGAGAAATGTAATCATGTTGTCCCTATTCCCTATTCTGAGCTTGAACGCCAATGTGATTCCTGGAGATGCAGCAGCCACCTTGCAGCCACAAGGCAACCAACATGAAAACAAAAAGCCAACACACAAGGTATCAAAGACTTCCAACCTTAAAGGCATTGTTGAAATGCTACATCAAGGCTGGCAGCCAACTGACCACACAATTTTTTATATCAAGAAAAATAAGGCCTCTTACTTGAATTACTAACTGATTAGTCATTCAATCAGTTACTGATTGTAACTGTTTGATTCAATCAGCATTTATAACTGATAGGTGCCCATAATGACTAGGCCATGGTTACCCACATCACAAATAGTTGAGTGCAATCAATGTAGATTCAAAATGGCAGCTGAAGAAGGGATTCTGTTGACTTAGTTGAAGAAGTTGTAGGAAATGGAAACTCACTGGAATTGGATGGCCAATCTTTTTGAACATAAAGTCATAAAACTTGCTAAAATTTGAGTAAACCATTGATATGGTTTGGCTCTGTGTCCCCTCCCAAAACTCATCTTGAATTGTAATCCCCACATGTTGAGGAAGGGACCTGGTGAGAGGTGATTGGTTGATGGGGGCAAGTTCCCACCATGCTGTTCTCATGATGGTGAGTGATTTCTCACAAGATATGACGACTTAAAAGTGTTTGGCAGTTCACCCCTCACTCTTCTTCTCTCTTGCTGCCATGTAAGACGTGCCTTGCTTCCCTTCCGCCATGATTATAAGTTTTCTGAGGCCTCTTTAGTCATGTGGAACTGTGAGTCAATTAAACCAGCTTTCTATATAAACTACCCAGTCTCAAGTAGTTCTTTATAGCAGTGTGAGAATGGATTAATACAATCATAATATGAAAGGAATAAATATCAATGAATTTGATAAACTTGTGAGCTCTAACAATATTACTAGGTAGCTTTCTGTCAGTTAGAAAAGGTTTCCTAGTACTTTATCTGTTAGATTTCAGTTATTACCTGGTCAATTGTGTACCTGTATTTTTATCTGAAAGTAAAATTTTTTTTGCAGAGGTATAGCATGGTGTCTAGTATACACATGGTTAAGTCCAGGAGTTACGTTGTTAAATGGTTTAGAAAAATCCTAAAGATTTTATATAGGTGTTTGAAGATTTACTAAGTGCTACGTAATTCAAAAGCATCCATGCCTTTTCTGTATGGTTCTGTTCAGTTTATCTTCTTATAACCTTGCTTGAGGACAAATTTAATGAACATGTTTAAAGAATTTTAAGACAAAGAAGAATACGTAACATTTTTTTCCATACAGAACTTACTTTGGGACCCTTAAATTATATATTTTTGTCATTATTATTTATTTAAGCTTGTAACTTCACTTCACTTAGATATCAGAAGAGATAATTTGCAGATTTTCTGATTTCAGACCTAACAAGAAATGAGTATACCAAAGGATGCCTGTATGTTGGGAAAGAAAATGACTGGTTCAGCAAATAGACACTTTTCAAGAAAATATGTTGACTTCCTTAAAAAAAATGGCACGTTAGCAAATCCTTGTGAGTGAACCCACTGACTCCACCCTGAAGTAACTGAGAGTGTGCAGGTTTTCTCCAGACATCAAGACTGATCTCTGGGTCATGTGCTCATGTCAGGTAGTCATGTTATTTGGTTTTAAGGCCACAGAGAAGCATCAAGGCTCATGTAATGAGTGTTGATGGGATTGTGACTGTGGAGCCAGGGTTCCTGGGAATATCACAAGATCCAAATTATCCACAAATAGAGATATTCCCTGATACTCTGAAAGCGTGTTCTTTGGAGAGGCGAGCTCTATTAAATGACACAAGTAAAAGACAGATTCTGATCATGGCTCTTCCAAGCTTTCTTGGAGGGACTAGGGCCACATGGGAATGCCAGAAGCCTGCTCGACATCCACATCCAGGAGGCTGGAGAATGGCTTGCTGCCAACCATGGCTGAGGGGTTAAGAAGAAAATAGAGTCATGAATCTTTTATTTTTCCTATGTTCAGGCCCACTGCGAGCTTTACCAATGTTATTTCGTTCTATCCATTGCATTCTGTCCCTCTCATTCTATCTCAAACCCACAGGGTCCACAGTGTTCTTTCTATTTTAGAGCCTAACAAACAACCCCACAAGCTGAGACTCAGAGAGATTACACATCTTCTTCAAGACAACAGAGCAAGGAGCAGAGCCAGGATTCAAAACCAGCTTTTTTCTAAATCTAAACCTCATTCTCCTTGATCGTTCATCTCCACACTCCCTAGGTCCAGTTCTGGCTTTATTTTACTTTATAATAATGAGTCCATATATATGTGCCAGGCTGAGATCTAAGTGTTTTCCAGCAATCAGTCCTTTCAACAATCCTACATGGTAGGTTCTGCTATTAGCCTCATTTTACAGATACAGTAGCTAAGGTACAGAAAGGTACCTTGCCTGCAGTTACTCGGTTAGTGGAGCCACAGTCTAGTTCCATGCTCTTAACCACTTATACTAGTAGCACTCTATGGCATCCTTTACTTTTTACTTATTTATTGTCTGTTTACTCCATTCCCACTATAATGTATGGAGGTATGACCATACATAATGTATAATAATGTAAGCTCTGTGAGAACCAAGATTTGTTTTTAATCCACTACCTCTTCTCCAGGGCTTAGAAGAGTGCCTAACATACTGAAGATTCTTTTTTGCATATATTTAAGGTGTACAGCATTATGTTTTGGTATGCATATATATGGTGAAATGATTACCACAGGTAAGCAAATTAACCTATCCATCACCTTCCATAGTTACTTCGTGCGTGTGTGTGTGTGTGTGTGCGCTTGATAAGCGCATCTGAAATCTACTCTCTGAGCAAATGTACATTATACAATATCCTTAACAATAGTCTTCATGCTTTACATCATAACTCTACAATTCATCCTACATTCTGTAAATTTGTACACTTTGACTTCTCCCTAATTCCTCCATCACCCCTTCTTCAAATATTTAAGATTCTTAATCAAAACTTATTGAATAAATCATGCTACTTATTTGGGGACACAGGGAGCTGATATTAGAGCTGGGGATTCTCAGGAGTTAGGTCCAACGTAAGTCAACCTGGGACGCCTGGAGAGAGGTGTTTCCTGCTGTGCATGTGGCTGACCACCAGGGTATTTCTTGGGTGCCCAGACAACAGAATTCCTTGGTGAGAAATCTCTGTGGTGCTTTTTTTGAGCATTATTCATTCTGGCAGGAGCATCTAATTAAAAGAATCATAACCCTTTTGATGGTAGATTTCAATGGGGTTCCCTTAGATCCTTATCTCATGTGGATGTTAGATTCAAAGTAACACAGAATTGAGAGTTTGACAGCTTATGTTACAACACAAACATATGTGACCTTGGGGAAGTTTTCAGCATCTCTGAGTTTCAGTTTTATCCTTTCTAAATCAGTCTTAATAACATTGAGCTCACAGTACTCGGTTGATAATCTGGTCCACAGTAGAAATACAAGTTCAGTTGTGTCCTGGAATTAGAGCTCTGTTATATCTCATTCCACCTCCTGTTGGGAATGACAGTTGGAACAGCCCGACTTGTCAGCATTATGAGATGGTGACAAACTCCCCTGATGTTGAGGCAACAGTTTCACCATGGCTGCTCTGTGTCTTCATTCCTGAAGAGTGAGGTGAAGAGGGCAAAAGTCAAGTCCACCTGATGAAGTACAAGGTCATCCCCCACAAAGAGTGTGAGCAACCTTAGAGAAAGGTAGAAGAGGAACCCCAATCAACAACGTTTGCATGGGTGGACATAGAGCCAGGGTTAGAGAAGCAGAAAGTATTAATATTTTTAAAATACAATTTGGTTCCTGCCTGAAACCCTGCCAAGCTGGTAAAGAAAATGACAGTTCTGGAACAGTGTTCCTTAACTTATTATTGTCATCCCGGAAACGTTTCTCAGCATTTTCCACCAATCACCTCTGTACTCCTATGCAATGTAAATACTGCAGATATACTGTGTATCTGTGTATTCATTTCCTAGGAATGCTGTAACAAATAACCAACAACTAGGGGGCTTACATACTCTCTCACAGTTCTAGAGGACAGAAGTTCAAAATCATGATGTTGACAGGACCATACTCTCTCTGAAGGTTCTAGGATCCATCCCTGCCTCTTCCTAGCTTCTGGTTGTTACCAGCAATCTTGACATTCCACGGCTGGTGGATGCACCATTCCAATCACAGGGCATTCAACCTGTGCGTCTTCACATCACCTTCCCTCTGTTTATGCGGCCGAACTTCCATCTTCTTGTAAAGACACTAGTCATTGGATTAGGGCCTACCCTAATCCAACACAACTTTACCTTACTTTGATTACATCTACAAACACTCTATTGCCAAATACAACCCCATTTTCAAGGATCAAGGTAGGTATGTACATTTGGAAGACACTTCAACTCAGAATAATCTGTTTTTATACTATATTCAGGGGTCCCCAACCCCCAGGCCATGGACTGGTACTAGTCTGTGACCCTTTAGGAACCAGGCCGCACAGCAGGAGGTAAGCAGCAGGTGAGTGAGCAAAGCTTAATCTGTATTTACAGCTGCTCCCCAAGGCTCAAATGACCACCTGAGCTCCACCTCCTGTCAGGTCAGCGGTGGCATTAGATTCTCATAGGAGCATGAATCCTATTGTCAGCTGTGCATACGAGGGATCTGGGTTGTGTGCTCTTTATGAAAATATAATGCCTGATGGTTTGAGGTGGAACAGTCTCACCCCAAAACAATCCCCCAACCCCCTAGTCCATGGAAAAATTGTCCTCCATGAAATGAAACCAGTCCCTGGTGCCAAAAAATTTGGGGACTGCTGATATGTGTGTGAGTGTGTGTATGTGTGTGTGTGTGTGTGTGTGTGTGTATACTATATTATACTGTATATGTAATATATATATTCCCTGTGCTTTGTAGAAAAGTAATATAATTTGTTTGCACCAAAATCCAGTTTATGCTCCCGTGAGGAAAATATTGTCCCCATTGAAGACAGAAGTAGGCACAGTGGGGCTGTAGGTCAAATCTGGCCTGCCACTTACTTTTGTAAAATGTCTTATTTGCACATTCCCATGTCATTTATTTACATATAGTTTATGGCTGCTTCTGGACCGTATCTACAGGGCTGAGTAGTTGCCACAAAGACTATCTGGCTCACCAAGCCTGAAATATTTACCATTTGGCCTCTTACAGAAAAAAAAGTTTGTCATACCTTGCTCTATATCAGGACTGAGAAATGGATGTGGAAAAGTTCATCAGCTCACAGACTGACAACTTATCACATGATATCTTGGCATTATGATTTCATAATATTCATAGGGCCTAGGGTATTGTCATACCAGGTGTTCATTACTGTGGAACAAAGGAAATTCAGCAGAGGCCAAGCTGATTCCAGAAGGCTATTTAGGTTGAAGGGTGTTTTTAGATATTATGAGCTTATTTGGATTTGATCAGGATCAAGGGTTTTAATATCAGGAGAAGCAAGAAGTATCACAATGTAAGAAAATTGAATGTAAAGTCTGGGTATTTTGCTAAGATAGGAAAAGGGAAAGCTTTGGTTAAAAAACATAGGCAGAAACCATGAAGCAAAGATAAGCTGATGTTAATAAAGCCATAATTGGCAAAAAGACAATAGTATTACTAGGTAGCATTTATATAAAATAATTTTTTTGGATGTTCTAAGATCTTTCCACGCACTATTAAATTCTCAAACACAAGGAGCTGAATATCATTTTAATCATAAAAACATTAGCAATAACAGAAAAAAGATTCAGCATTTTTTGACCACTCTGAGGCCAAGCAAAACAAAACAAAACTTGTGTTCGCTCATCTCACCCAATAGTCAACACTAAAGACCTCTGTGACTGGTTTATGTGGATTTTATTTTCCACACACCAAGCAAGCAATCAGTTCTGCAGTGGACACCAGCTGGGTGTCCTCTAATTCAATGCAATTCTGATACAATCTACCTGGAGGTAGCGTCAGATCCCACAGGTTGAGGGCTCAATCTCCAAGATTGCCCTCTCCTTTTGATGCCAATCACAAGCTCTAGGTGGCTTTACCTGTGCTTCTGACCAGGTTGCTGTAAATCGGGGTTGGGTGAATTTGCTAGAGCAGCTCACAGAACTCAGGGAAACACTTACTTACATTTAGGTTTATTAGAAGGGATATTACAATGGATACAGATGAAGGATGCATGGGACGAAGTATGGGGCAAGGGGTGTGAAGCTTCCATGCCCTCCCAGGGTGCAACCCCCTCCAGAAACCTCCACATGCTCAGCTATCCAGAAGCTCTCTGAACCCTGTCCTGTTGAGTTTCTATGGAGGTTTTCATTACATAGGTGTGACTATTTAAACCATTGGCCATTGGTGAAACCTTCGATGTCTTCCCTCTTCCCAGAGGTTCTGCTGAAATTCCCAACCTTCTAATTGTGCCTTGGCCTTTCTGGTAAGCAGCCACATCCTGAAGCTCTCTAGGGGCTTCCAGCCACAAGCCAACTTATTAACATACACAAAGGCACTACTTTGAGGATTTTAGAAGTTGTCTGCCAGGAAACAGGGTCAAGACTAAATATATGTTTCATATCACAACCCTCTACTCTGCAATATAACCAAAGCTTAATAATACTGTCTCAAAACCGGCAACTTATTTCTCTCCATTTTACTGATGGGAAACTGATGCCCAGTGAAGGTATTTGCACAATATTAGAAACATACTCAGGAAGTGGCAAAACCCCATCTTTGAACCCAAGTTTGTCTGACACTAAAATAGATTTGCTTCATTTTTTTTCAGATGCACACCAGGGGTATAGACAGACAAGCAGAATACACGGTTCAGGAAGTCAATAAAAGTAGAACAAAGTGACAAAAAGGATGGCAAGAGGGAAAAGTATTGCGATTTCTTTTTTTAGAATAAGGATCCTTTCCAACTTGCTGTTATCTTCCACCCCCTGCATGAGCTTCTGCATGAGCTTCCAAACTCTCGCAGGTATGCGTTTGTATATATTGATAAATTCCAATTAAAATAACAGATAAAGACATCAGCTTCCTGTTGAGGACTTCATAGAGTTACGATTTTTTTTTTTTTTTACATCTGATCAAATGACATCTACTGATAGGGTTTTATACTAATAAAAAATTTTAACTGAAATAGAAATACCCAATTCTGCCCCACCATCAATATCTCGTCAGGAAAAACATAAAACATTAGCTCTTAAATAAATTTATTTAGCACATACTGAATATTCGTACTGTCCCTGATAGCTGACCCTGCCCTTCCCTGTTGGGCACAGGCCTGGAGAAGTTCATTTCCACTGGGCCAATCCAAAAGGAATGATGGAGTGGGAAGGTGAGCATCTCTTACCTGTGTCTGATAACTACATCAACCTTATAATGCCTCTGGGAGTTTTGTTTTGTTATAAAGTTGAGGTCTTACTATGTTGCCTAGGCTTGCTTCAAACTCCTGGCCTCAAGTAATCCTCCCACCTTGGCCTCCCAAAGTGCTGGGATTACAAGTGTGAGCCACCACACCCAGCCTCCTTTGGGAGGGTTAAATCAGAATATATATATAGAGAGAGTAATATTATATAATGTATATATATAAAATGTATATATACATCCTATCTTGTGCCAAGAATTCCTCCATATACTTTATATATACAACATATTACATATATAACATGTTATATTATATATATTATATGTATATATAACAAGTTTTTTATATATTTATATATATATATAAAATAATCCTAATCCTAATCCTCAAAACCTGTGAATATGTGACCTCAAATGGTAAAAGGGACCTTGCAGATGTGATTGAGTTAAGGATCTTGAGTTGGAGAGATTGTTCTGGATTGACAGGTGGTGCCCATGAAGTCACAAGGTTCTTATAAAAGAAAGGGGGAGCCAGGAAATATGTAAAGACAAGAGTTGAGAATGAACCAGAGGCAGCATGAAAACGACTTAACCAGCCACTTTTGGCTCTGGAGGCAGGGGAAGGACCATGAGCCATGGACTGCAGGTGGCCTGTAGAAGCTGAAAAAGGCAAGGAAGGCACTTGTCTTCTAGAGACTCCAGAAGTAACACCGCCCTGCTGACTCCTTGATTTTTACCATTGTAAACTTCAGACCTCCATATTGTAAGATAATAAATGCGTGTTACTTTGAGCTACCAAGTTTGTGGAAAGCAGCAATAAGAAATGAATACAAGCCATCTGTATACTCTCCCAGGACATGTCAACAGACATCATATCCCCAACCTTCTTCACTGTTCACTTAGATGCCCCCTGATTCCCCTTCTCACACCTGAGAGAGATGGAAGATTGCCCTTTACAACTCCAAATGCAATTTGTATTACTAAGCAGGAGGCCATTGAGTGTGACACTTTTGAACAAAATTAGTCCGCTGAGGTCCAGATTGCCAAATTCTTTGCCAAATAGGTGGTCTGATGTACTGCTAAATAGGTGGTCTTATGTACTACTTTGTCCAGAGGAAAAACATTGCAGACCTGGATGCATGCACTGCTTCCAGAACACACCCTGTAGCCCTGACTCTAACTTTAGTATTGTGCATGGCTATATATTCATTTCAGGAGACAAAATACTATTACCTCCTCCCTCTTCCAAGACTGCATGCTGAAAGATATGAAAAGAAATGTAGTTAGGGTAAAATAGGCGGAGATGAAAACGTAGAAAGACAGCATTTCTGGCTACTTCACAGTTTAGTTCCCACACCATGGAGATGACAGGAAAGGCACGGGAACTCCTGGATTTCTGCTTATTGTAGCCCCAAAACTACACCAAACAGTAAAGCAGGCCAGAGCCTTATTTAATTAGTTCCCCATCAGCATCAGCCATGGTCTTCTACCTCAGGTGCTGGTGTTTTCAGTGTCAATTCATTTGCATTTGGTAGAGATTTTTTTTTTTCTTGAGATGGAGCCTCACTCTGTTGCCCAACTGGAGTGCAGTGGTATGATCTCAGCTCACCACAATCTCCACCTCCTGGGTTCAAGCGATTCTCCTGCCTCAGCCTCCTGAGTAGCTGGGATTATAGGCACGCACCACCATGCCAGGCTAATTTTTATATTTTTAGTAGAGACGGGGGTTTCACCATGTTGACCAGGCTGGTCTCGAACTCCTGACCTCAAGTGATCCATCCGGCTTGGCCTCCAGAAGTGCTGGGATTACAGGCATGAGCCACCATGCCTGGCCTGTAGAGATTCTTTCAGATGCTACCCTAAGTTCTTTTTGTTAGCCTTTGTTCCTAGTGCTCTTTTACATTTTCTTTATAAAAAATACCCTCATGGAAAGGTGAAAGGAGACATATCAGTCACTATTATATCATCCTAAGCCACAGTTACCTCCCTTTATTTGAATTTATTTTTAAAGCCAAGGGAAGCATTTTTGTGCATGACAGAAATTTGTATGAAATAATCCTGCTAAAAACTTAGGATTCGAACAATTGTGTTCACTCATGTCATTCTGTAAATTCTGGAGCTATTATTACATTGGAAACTTGTTATTACATTTCTGCACTTAAAGCAGAACTAGGTATACAGTGAGTTTGTTTTGGATGACTTCCAAAAGCTTTCATTTCTGAAGAAAAAAAAAATCTGTGTATCAGCCACAGATAGATTGGCTTTCGTAGGATTTCTTTGTCATGACTGAGGTGCATCTGCCCATTCCATTCCATTTCTCTATAACAGGCTTTCTCCATCTTGGTACAGTTGACATTTTGGCAGAAATGGATAATTCCTTGTCATGGGGAGCTGTCCTCTGCATTGTGGAAAGTTTATCAGCATCCCTGGCCTTTTCACACAAGATGCTAGGAGCACCCACCCCCACCATCAAATAATAACAACAGAAAATGTCTCTAGATATTGATGGTGTCCCCTAGGAAGCAAAATTATCCCTGGTTGAAAACTGCTGCTGTCTGAAAATGAGGATCAAAAGGAAATGACGGTTTTGATAGGTCTTGATTCCATTCTGACACTGCCACTTGAAGGTATGTGCTAGCCACGGAGAGAAAATGCCTCTGAGTGAAATGAGAACATTGTTAATTAAACCCTGTAACACATTGGAACCTTGCAGAGCTTCATGCATGGGGGGCGGGAGATCCATTTCCTTTCCTACTTCACCAGAGACTGGCTGGGAACTGGCAGCTCTAGCGAGCGCAGTGATCAGCAAAGATGTGCACCAGCGGGTTTTCAAATGACAGTAGTGCCAGGTGGCTCAGGGCAGAGCCCAGACCAGCTGCAGCTGTGGTAATCACCAGTAGTGAGTCAGAGCTGTGGAAGCAAGCATTACCAGTGATGGTACGGTGAAGGTTCTAACACAGAGACAGAGCTTGCCTAAAGGTAAGTTTCTAAGGCATATAGAAATGTGTGGCTAGTGGAATCTTAGAATGGCCCAAGTGAGCTGCGGTTCCACATTGAACTTAGACCAGCAGAAGAGTTGGCTTGGAGGAGAAACAGGGGCAAAGGGTCAGGAGAGCAATTCACATCAATGCTAAGGATGGGTGATCACTGCCTCAAGTAGCTGAGAAATATTTGAAGGGATGGAAGGAGTTACTTTAAGGAGAGTTTTCATCCTGGATAAATAAGAAGAGAGAATTTAAAAAGCAAGATTTGTGCATTAAAATTAAAATGGGCTCATTTGAATCCTTAGGCTAATGAGAACTCAGAAAAGGTAGGGTTGTGAGCAAATCAATGAACCGTTACTTAAAATGTGTATTTTTAGGCACTGTAAGTGCTACAAATAAATGAATATGGTAGTTAGTGCTATTAATAAAAAAAGAAAGTCCTAGAAAAAATTTTAGTGACTTTTCAGTTCATTTCATGTTTGCCAAAAAAAAAAAAAAATCCAAATTGATTAGTAACCCATGGTTTTATATCTTTCTTCATTTTAATAAGTCAATTCTTAAATGGACTTATGGCCCTATTCTATCAGTATCTATTTGAAGTTCACTTACATACATAAATGTAGTTATTTATCGGTAATTAGTTATTCATGAGATGTGGCGTATGTAGCTTAATATGTAATTAAAATACAATGGGCTCAAACATGACATGTTAAGAAAATATATTAAAGTGTTCAAATAAGTTAGGAAAATCACAGCTAATCAACCTCGCTTAGCACATACTACCAACTATTTAAGTGCTTAATAGGAATCATTAACAAGGAGTGCAAATACTGTAAATGCAAATGGTGGTGATGTGAGGCTTCTTAATATGGCATAGTGGCTGTACATGGTTTATTTCCCTCTACTTTGCTAAATTCAACTAAAATAACAGTAATATAATAATAAGGGCATAAATTCACAAAGGCAAAGAAATAGGGGGAAGAAATCACAACAGTGATAAGTGATTTTAACAATTTGCAAGATGGAAGAATAACTGGTTGGTTTAGAAAAGAAGTTATAACCTATGTGACTACAGAGGTGAAACCAGTAAGAGGCAACTCCCTTTTTTCTCATGGAATGCCCAGATGCTTAGGAACTGGAAACCTGATTTACCTCAGAAGCAGTAAGCCAGGTGCTAAATAAAAACATAGAAATGGTTGAAAATAGGGATATGTAATGCTTAGACCAGATGGCTACTCATTCTGTTGGCAGGAGAGAGAAAATTTGAGGAAAAGTGTTTGGGAGTTCGGTGATATCAGAGAGGGTTTACAAGGAGAAGTGGGAGAAGAAAAGACAGGTGTTGAAAATAAAAACTCAGTGAAAATCTACATAGGAGACAACTGGGCTCCCAGCTACTTTCCTCCACCCACTTCTAGAATGGAAGTGGCTGGGATTCTAGCTCACCTTAACCAGGTGAGCACAGCACAGCATCTGAGTACTAGGGAAACTAAACTACCCCAGTAAAGGGGACTTATGCATATTAACAATTACATTTTATTCTCAGTAAAAAAGCTAGACACTAGCGTATCACACATTCACACTATTATAAGCCCAGGAATCAATAATCCTTGACCACTTACAAGTAAATTCCAATTCGATTTTTAGTGTCTCACTCTGAAAAAGGATTTTCAGGTTTTTGAGTATAGAAAAATAGAAGCAGCATAAGGATCTAA